>NC_000020.11:975425-1126941 GCF_000001405.40 Homo sapiens
ATCAAGACCATCCTCCCTCAGTCAAAACACCAGTAGGCCACAAAAGCATGGCCCTGTGTTGCTCCAGCAGCTGGAGAGGCTTAGAATGAAATCTGAGTCACTCCATGTTTCCCCAAGCACCCGAGGGATGAGTCCAGATTTGGATGTCCATTTTATGGAGAATGAGAGTGGAATCAAACACACCAGATTTGACAGTTTGCAAAGTGATAAAGGCTTATGACAACTCTGAATGCGTGCATTAACCCAGGGTTGAGTGATCCATTCATTCATTCATCGACCCATTCATTCAACAATTACTGAGCCCCTATTCTGGGTAAGGTCCAGTGCTAGGACTCAATGGTTATGAGCTTTGGGGCAGTTGTGTGACCTTGGGCAAGGTACTTTACCTCTACAAGCCTCAGTTTTTCCAGCTGTAAATGGGGATAATAATGCTTATCTTGCAGGGCTGTTGTGATTAAAGGAGATGGTACGTGAAAAACTGTTAGCTCAGACCACCTGCAGCAGGCATCTGATAAACTGAAGCTACCATTATTATATTGAGAATGATGTGTTTTCTGCCCTCAAGGGACTTAAAAATCTAAAGACGTGTAACAATGCAGGTTCCCAGGTTGATATCCTGGCCCCATCACTCATTGAATGAGATCCCTCGTCTCTGTGGGCCTCAGTTTCCCCATCTGAAAAATTGTGGCAGCAATTCCTACCTCCACGTGATTTGTTATGAGGGATGTGCAAACCAGCAAGCACTGGCACACAGTAGGTGCTCCTCTGTAAACCTAGGTTCCCTCCCTGTTCCCTCACCATCATGACACACAGTGGGACTGTCAACCAACATCTGGACCCTTGTCCTCTTTCCCAGGTGAGCAAACAAAAGCCAGAGATGTTGGTGAGGCTGGAAGGAGGCCAGCAGGGTCCAGGGACATGGTCTTTTGCCCTCTGGATGGTGAAGTGCTCAGGGCAGAGATACTAGCCAGCAGCTTTGGTCCTAGGTGAAGGGCAGGCTTATTCCTTCTTTTGGGAATAGGGAATAACCTGTGCCCTTCAAATAAGGGTCCCTAAGCTCAGGTTCACCCACATCCTGAGAACTGCCCCAAGCACCTTGTTTCAACAGGAGTCAACGGCTCAACATGTGCAAGTGATCGCTGTATTTTTTTTTTCCATTTCAGGGTTTTGAGTGAACTTAGGGTCATCTCTGCCATATCATGCCTTCCATCTGCCTTCACTCTGCAGAACTTCCCTGAGGGGTCAAAAATGCAGGGTGACATCTGGGACGCTGAAAATGTCATGTTCTCCTAGGCAAGCTCGTCTCCTCAGTAGCCCAGTGAATCTGTCATTGAAATTTCCTTAATACCCAAGCCAGAAAGCCTAGCCCCATACATTTTTTTTAAAAAAAACAAGACTAATTTGGATAGATTTCTAGCATTTAAAAAATCAAGAGATTTCACATTAAAAAGCTGGAATTTGAACTTCTCTGGAAAAAGTCAGAACATCTACCAACACTGGGTCTGCTGTCACAGGGCAGTGAGTGGTTAGAGTTACATAAATAAGGCATATGTTCCCCAGGTTACTGCAGACCCTACCCCTCCCTATTGTATTTCAGATACTGAGGGAAAAGGTCAGCTGCCCTATGTTATCATCCTTGAGCTACATCTTAACACCCACTTCACTCACTCACAATAGAAAACAATGTAGAGCAGGGGTTCTCAAACTTGGGCATGCATCAGATTCACCTAGAGAGCCTGTTAAAAACACAGGCTGCTGGGCCTTACCCTAGAGTTGCTGATTCATTAGGTCTGGGCAGGGCCTGAGAATCCGCATTGCTAACAGGTTCCCAGGTGATGCTGACCTTTGCTGGTCCTGGGCCCACACTTTGAGAACTACTAGTGTGGAACAGGGTTAAGAGCCAGACTGGTTGGATTGAAATTTCAGCTCTGCCCCTTACCTTTGCCATGTGACCTTGACCCAGTGCCTTAACCTCACTGTGCTTCAGTTTTCTCATCTGTAAAACAAGAATCCTCCTGGCTGACCTCACAGGTGTGCTGTGGGGGCCTGGCAGGGCTGACAGTCAAGCGGGTCTCCATGACATCACTGTTACTACCATTATTATCACCACCTGCCCTGCCTGTGTTGGCATTTGTGATCCTGGAACTGCTTTGACAATCAGTGCAGAGTTTTTGGTTTTGATGCCAACATTTTTGGGGGTAGAGTTTCTTCATAATTGGGGTGTGCCCTGGGAAGTGTGTCTTGCATGAGAACATCATGTCATGGTGAACTAAGGATTTAATACAGCTGTCCTGGAGGACTCCCCAGGGCTAAGAAGGATGGGGAAAGAGAGAAAGACACCACTGCCCCTGCTGAGGTCCCTGCTCTGTCCTTGGGGAGGACCCAGAACCATGCAGGAGGGCCCTACACAGACAGTGCTGGGCAGCGCATCCTCCGATGCCCGCCTGGCAGTGCAGGACGCATGTCACCGATGACCAAGGGAAATAAAAAACATCTGGGCACCCGCCTGCCCACTCAGGCCTCCACATATGGGAGGCAGTCGCCACTGCTGGAGGCTTGCTCAGAAGATCCCCCAGCACATTTCTGCCTAGGGGTAGATTGCACCATCTCTAGCAAGGGGGTGGGCCCTGGAGATGACTCCCAGCTTAGAGACTCCCTGGGATCAGGGCTAGAGGTCGCTAGCCCACTGGACCCTTCTCAGCACTCAGGAGGTGGGGGGACCAGCAGGGCAGAACATTCAGCAGAATGTTGAGGTTGCCTTGGCTTTGGGGCCTGACAAACCACCACTTCCTAGCTGGGTGATATTGGGCAAGTGGCTTTACTGTTCTGAGCCTTGGTCTTCTCTTCTGTAAAATGGGGACGATAGTAGCAACCACCTCCCAGGCAGTTGTGGGGATGCCATGAACTCATCTGCGCAAAGTGCTTAGCACAGCTCACGGCAGATGAATGAGCACTCCATTACTACTTGATTCATGAGAGATGCTCCTTTGAGGGCTGGGCCCAGCTTGGCTTGCTCACCTTTAAATCCCCACGGCCCTGCACATTGTAGGTGCCCACTGACTACCCATTTGTGATTATACCCATTATGCCCATTCATTATTTCTTAAATGAATGCATGAACGGTGGCTCAATAAAGGTTCTCAAAAACTGCTCTCAGGGGGCTCACAGCCTATTTGGGAGGACCAGGCCCATACGAATGTGGAGAAAGCTGATGACCTCTGCCCAGCAGGGCTCAGAGACAAGTGAAGGACCCAGGCAAGGTGGGAGTGAAAGTCCAGAGACTGGAGACATCAGGGGTGGTTTTCTAGGGAGGCAGATGTGGGGACAGAAGCTGAGGCCAGGAGCAGGACTAGTTTGTGTAGATGGAAGAAAGGTTTCTAAGAGAGGTGAGTACAAGATGATATTGTACTCATTTGGTAGAAAGGGAGGGGCTTGAGCAAGGAGCAGATGGCAAATCCCCGCTAAGGTGCCAATACAGGACACCTAAGGGGCTAATGGATAAGACCCTCAAAATACAGTAAGAATAGGCACACATCCAAAATGGAAACTTTTCATCCTTTGCCCTCCAAACCTGCTTCTCCTGTCCATTTCAGTCAATGGCTACTCCACTCAGGGCCAAAGACTTCAGCGGCATCCTTGTCTCTTCTCTCTCCCTCATATCCTACTATTGGCCCATCAGGAATCCGGTCAGTTCCACTTCTGAAATATGTCTGGGAATAATTTCTCCACCTTTCCTGTCCCTACCCCGTTCCCTGCTCCTGCCCTGTTTCCCCACCACTCACCTTCCCTGGCCATGCTGGCCTCATCCTCCATGTTCCCCATCTGCCAAGACCACTCCCACCACAGGACCTTTGCACTTGCTCTTCCTTTTGTCTGGAATGCCCTTCCCACATTCACCCGCAAGGCTCCCTCCCTCAAATGTCTCCTTGTGGGGACAAGAGTGATTCCTTCTTAGATACTAATTTGCCACGTCAACTCCTGACTAACCCTGAGTCCAGTAATGCCTCCAAGATGTCTAGCTGAAGCATTACTCTCTACGTAGAAACACTTATTTGCTGCGGGTTTCACTTTTCCTCCAAAACAAACCTTGATGCTGCTGCAGGAAGCATAGGCTATGACACCCATAGCACAATGTCAGTCACCTGTGCACTCCTCCCAGAGCACGCAGACCTTTCTCCCCAAGATATGTAAGCCCTGGGTCTGGAGAGTTACAGCTTGGAGATCTACCTATCTTGAGGCTGCCCAAATCTTGCTCTGTTCAAAAGTTCCCCAACTAATAACCCTTTACCAACAAATTGGAATTGGCTGCCTCATTCTTTGGTTTCCCAGCTCCTTCTGCATTTGGGGTCGCTTTATGTATACGGCCCTTTCACAGAACACCCCTTCCCTGTGATGCCCCCAGACCTCTTGCCTGCAGCAGCACCACACCTACACCCTATTCCTCTCCCACGTCGCTATGTTCTTCATGCCATTTATTCCCACCTGATAGGTTCTAAATTTGGCAAGTGCTGTTGTCTCTTTCCCACCAGTGAAAGATGAGTTCCAGGAAGGCAGGGATGAGCCACGGCACACTGGACCTTCTCACTTATGCAGCACCTGCCTTCTCACTTAACCAATTCTTTGTTTTATAGCTGCTTACCATTCCGCATAGAGGGGCTGCAAAACTCATTTAGGTGCTATTATCACACCCATTTCAGAAAGGAGGAAACTGAGGTTCAGAGCAATGATGCTGCTTGCCCGAGGTCACTTAATAAGTGGAGCAGATATTCAAACCCAGGCAGTGTGACTCTGAACCTGAGGGTTATCCTCAGGTTGCCACACTGCAGCCTGGCTACTCAACATATCCCTGTGCGCCTCCTCAGTCCTCCATGCAGAGTCCCTTACCTACTGACGCCTTGCTAAGTTCCCAGTGCTGTGCTGAGGCCTTCTTCGGTGTCCGCTTGACCTCACCTGAGACAGGAAATTGGCCAAATGGTGGCAGTGCAGGCTGCCCCAGGACTGAACATGCCCCCTCTGCATTCCTCATCCATCCTCCCCTCACCCCCAGTAGAGAGTGAGCAGATCAATAGGTGTGTGTTCAATCAAGGGGTGAAATGCCCACTCCGTCTCTCAAATTCTCCAGGAGTGAGTCTCCTGCCTCGCAGCTGGGACTTGGGGAGGATGAAGAAAAATTACCTGCTAAGTTGCAGCCTCTGCTGGACATTCTGGCCAGAATCCTTTTTAGACGTTGACCTATATGGGCTGGTTGCAGGGGTGGAGAGGGTGGTGGTAAAACCGGGGTTCAAACTCACATTTGTTGATTTCATGGCCAGTGGTGATCTCAGATTTCAATCCCCATCAGAATCACCTGAGGCTGCTTATTAAAAACAAGAGGTGCTGTCGCCTCTCGACACATGCGGTTGTTTTAACGTTTATGGTGTGCCCAGGGTTGTACGTGCATGAACTCAGAGATCTTCAAAAACTGTCCTGTGAGATCAGCCAGGGCTTCCCAAACTGTAATATGCACACAAAGGGATTTAACTCAGGGATCTTGGGTTAAAATGTAGATTTTGATGCTAAAGTTCTGGAATGGGGCCAGAGGTGCTGGCCCGAGAACTCACTTTAAGAAGCGAGGCGGGAGATGCTGTTATCATTCCTCATTTTACGGTTCAGGAAGTGAAGGCTCAAAGACCAACAATTATAGGTGGTGGCATTAGATTTAAACCCACAGCTGATGAAACCCCAGACTCATTCTACTGTGTCACACTGCCTTACCCTGTTGGTCTGATGATGAACGTGGAGCGGGAAAATGGGAGTGATACTCAAAAGGGGCAACCTGGCCAGGCACAGTGGCTCACGCCTGTAATCCCAGCACTTAGGGAGGCTGAGGCAGGTAGATCATAGGAGGCCCGGAGTTCGAGACCAGCCTGGCCAACATGGCAAAACCCCGTCTCTACTAAAAATACAAAAATCAGCTGGGCGTGGTGGTGCACACCTGTAATCCCAGCTACTCAGGTGGCTGAGGCATGAGAAACGCTTGAATCCAGGATGCGGAGGTTGCATGAGCCAAGATTGCACCACTGCACTCCAGCCTGGGCGACAGAGTGAGACGCTGTCTCAAAAAAGATAAGATATAAAATAAAATAAAATAAAAATAAAATATCAAATGGGCAACCTGACTCCTTTCGCCACTCATAGGAGGGGCATTTCCCCAAGCAGCCTGAGTTGGGGACAGTCCCTGCCAGGCCCAGCATGGCAGAAAAAGGAAGGGCTGGGTTCATGTGTGCCCGACATGTGTGTGTTTGGGGGACAGGGGCAGGTATGTGCCGACACACGAGACCCCTGTCTAAAGGATCTGCCTGTCCCCACATTAAAGCATAGAGAAGGCCTGAGCCCCTGCCCTATGCTGGTCCTGCAGGGCTCGGCTGGGGCCCAAATCAGGGGTTGACACAGTGAGAACAGGCTGCTGGTGCCTGGCATCCCCCACTTCCCACCCCACATCAACCAAATCTCTGCTTCCCCATTCTCCTGGACCTGCCCTGGACCACATCTATTCTGCCCTCCATTAGCTACTCATTAAGAGAAGTTACATTTGTGTTTCTGGTGGGAGCCCTGGGGGTGCTGAGCAGCCCAGAGCAACCACTGGTGACCTTCAGAAAAATCATATTAAAGAAAAAAGGGTTGTTTTTGGATTCCTCATCATTCGGCAAGCTGTGCTGGGGGTAGAGCAGCCAGATGAGTTCGGGACCGGGGCAGAGAGTCTACCCTCCAGCTGGCTTCTCCAGACCCACCTGCCCAGAGCTAGTGCCCTGTTAGCCAGGAACACAGAACTGTCACAAAGCTGTCCTGAGCATGAAACTGTTACCAACCAATCTGTCCGTGGAGTTGTTACAAAACTGTCTTGTGTGTGAAGGTGTCACAATGTTGTCAAGTATGTGACCTTGTATAAGAAATTGTCATGCAATTGTCCTATAGGTAAAACTGCCATGAAGTTGTCAAGCATATGCAGTTGCCACTCATTTGAAAAACTACTGGAGAAGAGTTTCTTTTCTTTTCATGTATGAGGGACAGGTTTGCTGTGTGGGTGACTTTGAAAAAGTTGCTGACAGGCACTGTGCTTGGCTGCTGCTCCTGTAATAACAGCGCCCGGCACCCAGTAGGTGCTCAGTGAGTACTTGCCGAATGTCTCCTCAGGGCTGCAAAGTAGACTCAGACAGGTTCTGGTTCTTTCAGGTGCTGGCTTTGTCCCGTAGTGGGCTGGTCTGATGTGACCTCGGGTAGGTCTGTTGCCTCTCGCATCCTCTCTGAGCCTACTTTGGTTGTTGTAAAGTGCCCTGAGGCCTGTGTATGACGTGCCCAGCAATACTGGGGACAATAAATGCTGGCTGCTAATTCCCTCTCCCTCTTGTCGGGGGTTTATGATTCCTCAGGGCTCTTGATGGTAGCAGAGGCCTCTCGTGGCTCTTTGGGAGGCTGTGGAAGCTTCAGCTTTGGCTGAGTAGGACGTCTGCAGTGGCAGGACACCTCCAGCCAATCAGGATGCTCAGTGTCACAGGGATTGGGGGCAACGCCCACCGCTACAAACCCAGGAGGCCTCCTCTGGGGAGGATGTGAGCTCCAGGATTCCAGGAAGGGTGGGAGGAAACCTTCTAAGGGGAGCTGAAAGCTCGTTGATTCCTAAGATGAGCCCGAGTGAGAAAGGTACCAGGTTTTGAAGTTTGTTCTGCAAACGACCTTCTTCACTTTTTTGTGAAGTCCTGCAATCAACAGAGCTCAGGGCTAGGAATTAGGACCTTTGCTCCTGTCCCACCTTGGACTCAGACTCATTGTATGACCTTTGGCAGAGCACCTGGAGCTTCCAAGGGGTGGCAGAGAGTTGGGAATGCAGTTTCCTATCGGAAAAGCAGAGCCTTGGTCTTGATAAAGAACTTTTGAACTTTTTCTTAGCCAAGGGAGCCTTCCTTTTTGCAAGATGAAATGTGACATGAGAGATCGATTCCTAAAATGAATGAGTTGAGCTGCTTTGGCTGAGGCCAGGATGGGGGTGAGGGTGAGCATCTTGAGCTGTCTTTTTGGTTTCCTTTGCCTACTTCTAGAGGCAGCCTCTGAGAGCTTGGATACCCCCTAAGGAACCTTTGAACCCCAGAGTTCCACAGTGCTAATGGCTGCAAGGCAGGTGATATAATTTTGTGGGACTCTGGAGCCTGGGTTCATTCCCACACTAGCTTCTCTGAGCATTGGTTTTCCCGTCTGTAAATGGGGATAACGACTATGCTCACATGTTGTGACAGTGTGGTAAGCTGGTTTTGTGTGTGGCATGCCAAAACAGGGTTTGGCTGACATGGGGTGCACAGCAATGTGGGAGCTGCTAGCAGTTGTGGATCTCTTCTTTCACAGGCCAGACTGCCTCAACAATCCTGCAAGATGGGTAGTATTATCTGGTCTTGCGGACAAGGAAGCTAAGGCACAGAGAAGGTAAGTAAGTTGCCCAGATCCCATAGCTGGTGAGTGGCAAACTCAAAGCCAGGCAGTCTTAGTAACAGATAGTTATTATTATTTTAAGTACTGGGGAGAGTCTAGGCCCCAGAATAGGTCCAAAATAAATACCCTCCTCACCTTACATAATTAAGCTCTAAGAAAGCTTAGAAATAGGCCAGGCACGGTGGTTCACACCTGTAATCCCAGCACTTTGGGAGGCTGAGGCGGGTGGATCATGAGGTCAGGAGTTCAAGACCAGCCTGACCAAGACGGTGAAACCCCGTCTCTACTAAAAACACAAAACACCTGCACCAGGTGTGGTGGTGCGCACCTGTAATCCCAGCTACTTGGGAGGCTGAGGCAGGAGAATCACTTGAACCTGGGCAGCAGAGGTTGCAGTGAGCCGAGATCATGCCACTACACTCCACCCTGGGCGACAGAGTGAGACTCTGTCTCAGAAAAAAAGAAAGCTGAGAAATATAATCAGCTCCCAGTGCTGAGAAGACTTGGGGCCCCACTGCCAGTGAGCATCAGGAAAGGGGGCCAGGTCTAAAAGTCAGCGCTGACTGAGGCAGGTCCTTGGTCAGTGTGTCCCTGCCAGTGTTCCTGGGAAAGCCCCAGTTCTTCTCAGCCAGCACCCTGGGTACCTGGAGCTTCCAAGGGGTGGCAGAGAGTTGGGAATGCAGTTTGGGCCTCCAGCCCAATGCTCCATGCTCCTTGCCCAGTAATCACACCTGGCACAAAGTGAGCATCTTCAAGGACCCTATTCTGGGTCTGGTCTCTCCCCATGGGCCTTCTTCAACACTCAAATCCTAGTAGTACAAGGGAGAGAGCCCCAGATGTGGACTCTTGTCCAGTTCTGTGTGTCCTCAGGCAAGTGTCTCCCTGTCTCTGGGCTTCAGTTTCTCCATCTGTCAAATGGATGGTTAAACTCAGTGTTTCTAAAGGCCCACTGTTCACCCATCCATCCATCCATCCACCCACCCACCTACCCATCTGCCCACCCATCTATCCATCCCCATCCATCCATCCATCCATCCCCATCCATCCATCCATCCATCCATCCATCCACCCACCCACCCATCTATCCATCCACTCACCCACCCATCTATCCATCCATCCATCCACCCATCCATCCATCCACCAACCCATCTATCCATCCAATCACCCACCCATCTATCCATCCACCAACCCATCTATCCATCCACTCACCCACCCATCTATCCATCCATCCATCCACCCACCCACTCATCTATCCATCCATCCATCCATCCATCCACCCACCCACCTACCCATCTGCCCACCCATCTATCCATCCCCATCCATCCATCCATCCATCCACCCACCCATATATCCATCCACTCACCCACCCATCTATCCATCCATCCACCCACCCACTCATCTATCCATCCATCCATCCATCTATCCACCCACCCACCCATCATCCACCCAACCATCTATCCGTCCATCCATCCATTCAGCAGATATTTCTTGAATATCATCTATGTGCCAGGATCCTTTATTTATTAAAGTTAAAAGACAAATCACAGACCTGTAGAAACATTTTAGAAAGACATACAAAATCATACTGGATTGGAAATGTAAATTTCCCCAGGACTTTTGTTCACCAGTGACTCTCCAATGCCATGCATGGGGCCACATGTCTACTAGGTGCTCTGTAAAATGTTTATTGGATGTAAGAATGAATAGGACATATTTTGCTGTTCTAAAGAGAGCTGCCTCCGAGTCTGAGATTGGAGTCAGACATCCTCTCTAGGACTTATTGAGAGGGGGCCAACTATCTTTGTCACCCCCATCCCTGACCTGCCCCACTGCCTCCCCAGCCCATATAAGCCAGTTTCTAAAGAGGATCTAAGGAGGATTGGCCAGCAGTGACTGGGGCAGGGTAGGGCACGGCATGCCCCCAACTCCCAAGCCCAGGTGGGCTCATGGTTTGGAGGGGAGAAGCTATGAACCAGAGGGAAACAGGCATTCCATCCCTTGATTGAACTCACTCTTGTTGATCTGCCCTGTGTCCATTGGGAGTGAGTGGAGAATGAATGAGAAATGCAAAAGGGGTGGGGTCTGGCAGAGGCAGCCTGCATTGCCACCATTTGACCAATTTCCTGTCAATTTCCTATATTTGGTCAAGTGGACATTGAAGGAGGCTCTTGAGCTTAATCTAAGCCATGGTTTTCCAGCCCAAAGGGGCATGAGGCTGTTGAAGTGGGGATGGGGTAGTGAGGAAGCTAGGGTGATCTGAAGAGGTCAAGCTCGTGCTCCTTGCTCAGTAATCACACCTGTGTACCAATTAGGCACCTGCCACACGTGGGAGAAAGGGGAGGGCATGGATGGAGGCAGAGGAACATTTAGTCCCAGTCCCTCCCTGCTGCTCACTGGTGATGGCCCCAGAGTTTTCTAACACCGGGAATTGTGGAGGCCACAGCAGCATCAGGGTAGTGACAGCTGTCTCTATCCCCATTCCTTCTTCTGCTCCCCAACATACAGGGGAGAAATCAACCCAGAGGGAGGAGAGAAGAGAATGAGACAGCATGACATATCTCCCTACAGGGCAAATCAGTGGAGTCAGAAGCTGAGTCAGGCAGTGATGGGGAAGCAGTGATGGGAAAGGAGAGCTTCAAATCAGACCTGTATTTTAAAAATTCAGCACTGGACTAGGCTTTTTAATAGCTGAAAGTTACCAGAAAGCTTTGAGATCTGCCCAAAGTTATTAAGGATTGGAGTTTAAAAATACGACTGTGCATTGGGGGTGGGGGGTGGGGGGTGCATGGAAAGCATGCCATGTTTGTAACCCTCTGTTACAACTTCAGTATCATCATTAAGCCAGTTACACACAAAGTAAGCCAAGAATATCCTTAATACACAACGAGCTCCTATAAATCAATAAGAAAAAGGGGAATGATCCAAGTGTGTGGAGGGAGAATGGGCAAAGACATTACAAGGAATTTAAAAAAGAAAGACAAATAGGACAATAACCATACGCAAAGCTGTTCTACTTCCCTAAGAATTTTCAAATTGAAGATGAGAACAAGAATGAAATACCACCATGACCTACAAGATACGGAAACTGTAAAAGACTCCGGCACCCTCTTTTGAGAAGGCAATTAGGCAGAGTCTATTATCTGTAGCCTGAGGTAGTAACAGCATTTTACAGGAAGTGTCCTGAGTTGAGAGAGGGGTAGGCACTTGTTAGAAGCCACACAGTGAGTCATGGGAGGGGAGGAGCTAGAACTCAGACCTCTGGATGGGCACCTTTGATTCTTTATCTCCAGCCAGCTGGTCCTCTCTGTCTGGGCTAGTGCACAGCCTGGCCCCTGGCCCCTGTCTGGGTAGCCCAGGTCTGCTACATCCATTGCTGCACCCTGCTCTGGGCCTGAGGATGGTTGGGGCACTGCTATTCCAAATGACACATCTCTTATGATTACCCTGTCCTTCCTAGACAGGAAGCTTTCAATTAGTCCTGCTGGGCAGCAGCCTTAGAGGGTAGAGGTAGGACTCCAAGGTTTGGGATGAGACAAACCTGTTCTCAAATCCCAGCCCCACCTTTACTCCCTGGGACAGTTACTTAACCTCAGTTTGCTCATTTGTAAAAGGAACACTGTCCAGGTGCGGTGGCTCACACCTGTAATCCCAGCACTTTGGGAGGCTGAGGTGGGAGGATTACTTAAGGCCAGGAATTTGAGACCAGCCTGGGCAACATAGTGAGACCCTTATCTCTATGAAAATAAAAAAAAAAAATTAGCCAGGCATGGTGATGCGTGCCTATAGTCCCAGCTACTCAGGAGGCTGAGGTGGGAGGACTGCTTGAGCCCAAGAGGTCAAGGCTGCAATGAGCTAAGATCGTGCTATTGCCCTCCAGTCTGGGTGACAGAGAGAGACCCTGTCTCAAAAACAAACAAGATTAAAATGGACACAATCACCCACCCACTGAAAAGCTTGTTCCTTCCACAGATATTTATTGAGGGCCTACTATGTGCCAGGCACTTTTCAAGGCACTGCAGATACATCAGTGAATGAGACAGACCTTCCCCTCATGAAGTTTACATCCTAAGTGGGAGAGGGAGATCATTTCAGAGAACGACAGGGAATTGAATTTGGGTACACAGAGTGGCAGGAGGGAGGGCCTGGGCTGCCTGGAAGGGCATCTCTGAGATACACAAGAAAGCACTCTTGGCGGAGGGACCAGTGGGTACAAAAGCCCAGAAGCGGCAAAGAACGTGGTGTGGAAGAGAGCAGCAAGGCCAGAGTGCAGTGACTGAGGGGAGAGTGGTGGGTGGTGAGGTCTGGAGGCAGAGGGGCCAGACCCCCAGGACACATGGATGAGTTTGGATGGTGCTGGATTTTCCTGGAAGTGAGTTGGGAAGCCACTGTGGGTTGCAAGCCGAGGAGTGTCTGCCACCTTGAAAGCTTCTCTGGTGCTGAGGGGAATGGACTGTGGGGCAGGAGTAGAAGCTGGGAGCTCAGGGTGTATGGGCTGTGGTCATTCTGGTGGCCTGGACGAGGCTGGCAGCTATGAGAAGTGGGTGGATCCAGGGAGGGTGGACAGACAAGCTCTGCTCATGGGTTATCATGAAGATTAAAGGGTAAGTGACTCAGTCCACAGTGCAGCACATAGCACATGCTAGACAGATCTTAGCTGTTTTATTTATGTATTTATTTATTTTTGAGACACAGTCTTGCTCTGTCACTCAGGCTGGAGTGCAGTGGTGTGATCTCGACTCAGTGCAACCTCTGCCTCCCAGGTTCAAGCAATTCTCCTGCCTCAGCTTCCCTAGTAGCTGGGATTACAGGCACCCACCACCATGCCTGGCTAATTTTTGTAATTTTAGTAGAGATGGGGTTTCACCATGTTAGTCAGGCTGGTCTTGAACTCCTGACCTCAAGTGATCCACCCGACTCAGCCTCCCAAAGTGCTGGGATAACAGGCGAGAGCCACTGCGCCCAGCCAGATCTCAGCTTTTAAGAGGCCTAGACCTAGAATCCCATGACTGTGTCTACCCCACAGCCTCCTCCATAAATGCCCCAAATCGCTTCTGCCTCTCCTGGTCATTGGTTCAAAATGTGATTCCTTGACCTCTTGTTGCCTCTTGACTTTTGCAGCTGCTGGGATGAAGTACTTGTTCTGAGTTCCTCTAGTTGCTATTTTAAGCAGACTGCATACCCTCCGGCCCCCATCTCCCAAGCTGGTGTGAAACCCAAGGCAGTATCTGGGTGGCTCCCTAAGTCGTTTTCCAAGTTGAGAATAGGTAGTAGAGTCACCTATTCTCACAACCGTGACATTCCACCCAGTCCAGGCTCCCAGACTAACTGCCCAGCCCCTGGAAGTAGAGAGATGGGAGGCAGCACCAGGCAGCAGGGAACCCAGGTTTGAGTCCCAGCTCTGCCACCTTGACCCTAGGAAGGCCCTTTGACCTCTCTGAGTCTCTGCACCTCTTCTGCAAAATAGGAATGATGATATTAAAGAATTGCTTGCAGGGTAAAGTGAGGTAATAACCTGCGGAGCACCTGGCTGTGTGCCCAGCTCATATGGCAAACACTCACCAGGTAGGAGGATCCTAAGGTTGTGGGCAATGCATACAAAGCCTCTGGTGCATTGTAGGTGCTCAATAAATGGTAGGATGCCAGTAGGGAGGAGTTGAATGAGAAAAGGGGAAAGAGACCCAGTGCATGGTGGGGGTGGCAGGAACACAGGGAGTTGGGGGCTCCACCTTGGAAACCTCTCCTGGCCCTGGGGGCACTATCTCCACCAAACCCAAATCCAGGCAGCTAGAGGGACCTGGGCCTGCACAGGCATGGAAATTCTGCACTCACTGTTAGTGGGCCTCAGTTTCCTCATCCGCGAAGTGGAAACCATAACCCTTCTTACCCAGTTATAACCTGGATTCTGGGCTGGAACCAAGATAAGCAGCTACAGGCTGTCCTACCCCACCCCCAGCTGGAGACGCGGGCCTCTGGGAGCTCTGGCCGATTTTCAAAGGGACCAGAACTGCAAAAAACAGAACTAGGCTAATGCTGGCTGAGTGTTCACAGTGTGCCAGGACCTGTGCCACCCAGGTCCTTGTACTAAATCATTAAAACTTGCCATAACCCCACAAGGTGGGGGCTACACTTACTCCATTGGCAGGGATGAGAAAACTGAGGCTCGGAGAGGTAAAGGGCTTGGCCCAAGCATTCACAGGAGGAGCCAGGAGGAATGCAAAACTGAGCCCAGCTCCTAACTACTGGAGAGGAGCCTGCCTTGTGGTCCGTCACCCCTCCCTGCCAACCCCTGCCAGCTGGGCTTCCAAAGGCCGACAAATGCTATTTAAAGTCATACGTCTCTCAGGTCCCGAGGCACACCAGGGATGGACCCTAAACTGTTTGTGGGGGCAGACAGGAGTTATATCAGCCAAGTGAAGGCAGGAGGGGAAGGCTACTCCAAGTGCCTTTAGTCTGGAACTGTTTGCATTGCAGGGATGGAGCCCTTAGTAGCAACCTCCAGACAGTCAAAAAAGCTGGCTTTGCACACAAACATCCCAAGTGTATGTTTTCCTTCATTCTTTCTCTTTCTCTTTTCTTTTTCCTTCCTTCCTTCCTTCTTTCCTTCCTTCCCTCCTTCTTTCCTTCCTCCCTCCCTCCCTCCTTCCTTCCTTTCTTTTTCTTTCTTCTTTCTTTCTCAGTCTCTCTCTCTCTTTCCCTCTCTCTCTTCCTGGGGTGGGGAGTTGTTGATGCAAGAGAATGAGATGATCCACAAACTGAACTGGTTCAGCCAAAGCAGCCCTCAGCCAGGGGCGAGCGGGAAGTGTAAGCTGTTGGCTGAGGATTCTCCTTGTGGGGGATTTTGAGCCCCTGTGGGGTGTTGTTCAAGCCAATGTCACTCGCCTCCAGGGGCAGGGAGTCTCCAGCTGATGTCTCTCTTAGAGGAAAATTCACTGCTGTTGAGCTTACTACCTCCATCAGAGTAGGGGAAAGGGGACCCCAAGGACAGGGTCTGGCTAGCAGCACATGCTCCGCAGATGCGTGCCAACTGCAGGCTGTGATCCTAGGGCACAGTCAGGAAGGGGCGTGGACAGAGGAGCATTGTCGCAACTGAGCGTCCCACTAGCGTCCTCAGGAAGGCCCGAGGGCTGCTGCAGCAGCACTAACACTTGGAAGAATCCCTCGCGGGAAGGGTGGTCCAATGTTGAGGAGTAGCAGATCCAAGCTCACACTCTGGAGTGTGACTTTGCTTGTTTATTTTAAAAGAAGGGGTCTCACCACATTGCCCGGGCTGGCCTCGAACTCCTGGGCTCAAGCCATCCTCCCACCTCAGCCCCGTGAGTAGCTGGGATTTCAGGCGAGAGTCAATGCACCTGGCTCTGGGGTGACTTCTTGTAAGACCTTCTCATACAGACTTTTTAATAAGATCAGAAAACCCAGACCATAAGGCAGAACAAGCCCCCTCTCCCCACTCAAAAACCAATGGATTTGACCACACTGACAGCATGGTAAGCAATGATTTCTACTCTCCAAAGGTGAGGACTCTACAAAGTCAGATTAAAAAAGATTTTTTTTGTGTCAAAATGAACATGGGATTGATATCTAGGTAATACAAGGAAGCCCTACAAATTGACAAGAAAAATTCAGGAATTCCAATTTTAAAAGTGGGAAAAATAAAAATAAAATGTTTAAAAAGTGAAAAAATAAAATTTAAAATTAAAAATCAGGTGAATAAGAATTACATGATTAAAACAAATTTAAACAGTTAAAATAACATTCAAAAACGAAATTAAGTAACAAAATAAAAATTTAAAAATAAGGTATAAAAATAAAGTGTAAAAATCCATTCAAATAAAAAATACATTTGTAAAATAATTTAAATACATTAAAATTAATAAAAACAAAAATGTTAAAAATAAAAGTAAAATGTTTAAGTGAAATAAAATTTAAAAATGTAAGAATACATGAAAGAATTTTTACGAGTAAAATAAAAAATCAGCTATTTTTAACAATCTAAAGAATAAAGAAAAACTAATAGAAACATCAAAGGAGAGCAAGGTCTTGCTAGATGGATGCTGATGATGTGCTGTGAATTAAGGAGTCCGATTGGCTCAAATGCCTGCAGGGAGGCGGGGGAAGTGAATGACGGGGGTGGTGTAGGGAGTGAGAGGGGACGAGGAAGTAAAAGCATGCCCGCAGGCAGCATCTGATTCGGTTTTTCCAGCCCGCTGTGGGCAGAGGGCAGGAAGTCAGGCCCCATCATGGCTTCCCCCCAAAATAGCCATCACATCATTTATGCATTTGTAATGTGCTGGCAACATACGCACACGCACACGGATGCATGTTACATCATCCCATCCTCACTGCCCCATCCTCACTGCTGTCCTCTGAGGTCCACTTTCTTTTTTTTTTTTTTTTTTTTGAGACGGAGTTTCGCTCTTGTTGCCCAGGCTCTGAGGTCCACTTTCATAGAGGAGTGAACAGAGACTCAGAGAGGGTGGGTCACTGTGCCACAGTCACACAGCACTTAGGACCACCCTATCCTCTGAATCTGGCATGCTCAAAATGACCTTCTTTGGATGAGTTAGGTCTGCTGAGCACTTTCAAACAGAGGCAGGGCCATCTCTGACATCAGGCTCGAACGTTCTGTACACTAGGAAGAGCCCAACCTCTCCCCCCATGACGCATGACAGTTATCACCATTAAAGAAACACTGACTGTCTTCCAGGGGCGTCACATGCATAGTCATCTTGAAAACCATATGAGGTAGATGCTCTTATTGTCCCCATTGTATTGACAGACAACATCGAGATTCAGGAGTCAAATACTGTCACCCAAGCATGGCAGTAACAGAACTGGGAGCTGAGCCCAGGACTGTCCACAGCCCAAATCTCACACTCCCTGCGTGGCACCAGGCCCTTTTAACCGTCATTGATGAGCACTCCCTATGTACCAGCAATGCGTTTGTCTATGTTTCATGCCTCATTTTGCAAATTAGCCAACGGGGGCACAGAAGGGAGAGATGACCTGCCCAAGGTCACTCAGCCAGTAAGTGGCAGAGCCCACAGCCTTCGTGACAGCCTGCCAAGCCCCCAGTGCTCATCCGGGACTTGCTAGAGACAGCTGTGCCCACTGGCCAACCCCAGATCAGGCTCAGAAGGGCAACTGTGACATTCCTTCTCTTCATGTCTCCACCCTGGCGGATGTGGGCTCTGCCATCGGGCTCCAGGGAAAGTGGAGGCTTCCAGTGAAAGGGAGTGGTTTCCCCATGTGGCCTGGGTCCTCTGGGCTTGGGAATGCCTCTGTTTTGAGCTGGTGAAACAGAATTTCCCACCCCCTCCGCAATGGCACATCAGAGCCCCCACTATGGGCCACAGAGCAAGGGCCCTATGAATCATGCTGCATTACTGCAAGAAATCATTCCAGGGCAGGCAGTGGCGGCCCAGCATGGGACAGCAGTGTCCGGGTGGAGTTGGCGTCACCCATCCGGAGATGGGAAGCAGACCATTCCCGAAGGGATCTGGAAGAATCTCCGAGGGCGGGGCTGAGGGCAAATGTGTCCTGGATGCTGCTGTTCCACCGGGCTAGGAAAAAAAGCTCCAGCCCACAGAGACCTGGGAGCACATCACGACCTTTCCCCAGCCTGGCTGTGTGTCCTTGGCAAGTTGATTCCCCTCCCTGAATGTGGAAGGCCTCATCTGTAGAAGAGGGAGAATAATAGGGTCAAGCCACTTCATGGGGCTATAATGTGGGTAGCCTGGGAGGAGGGCTGGCATGGTGGTTATGGACTCAGGCTTTGGAATCAATTGTCTGGATGGAATCCTGGTTTTTGCCAAACTTACTCTGCCAAGCTGTGGGGTAGAAACATGAAATTGCTAATATTTGGCTGTTTATGACCTAGAAAAATGGCAACTGCATATACTTCAATGAATGTGCCTCTCTTTTAACTGCTTCCTCCTCTGTAAAATGTGGGTAATAACAGGCCCCTCAGAGGGGTGCTGTGAGGATGAAATAAGGCTGGGAGGCAATTAAGTTCAGTAGTTAGAGCTGGGCTCTGGGGCAAGGAAGGATTTGAACCTTGGCTGAGTGGCCTTGGGCAAAGTTACTTAACCTTCCTGTGCCTCAGTTTTCTTGTCTGTAAAATAGGAATGCTACTGCCCACTGCACAGGTTTATTAAGGTAATTTAATCAATTAATACATACAAAGTACATAGAACAGTGTCTGAAATTGTTACATAAAAGAATGCAGGTAACATCTGGCATCTCCTGCACCCTCATGTCTACTCACATAAATGCTCAACCACGAAACAAAATCCAAAGTGACTTTTGTAAACCTTTGATGCCAATGAAAGTTAAGTATTTTTAAAGAAAAAATATGTTTTGGGGAACATACATGTGTGTAGAGATGTAGGTGAGGAGTGTGCTCCCCAGGGTCCACCCCCAGGGCTGTTCTATGTCCTGATGGTGCCTATAGCCCAAGACTCTGAGGACAGGACTAGCCTTGAGGCCATGATGGCCCCGTGGCTTGGTCTCTTTCACAAAATCACACAGCCAAACCTCAGACCCTATGGAGAGGCTCCACTTGCCTAGGTAACTCTAGAGGCCCTTAAGAGGCACCCAGCCCTGGGCTGGCCTCTGATTATTAAGAAATTCCTGCAGACAGCCTTGGATGTGCGAAAGCCCTCCAGCTTCCATCCTGTCTTAATTTTTTTTTAGACGAAGTCTTGTTCTGTCACCCAGGCTAGAGTGCAGCAGTGCAATCTCAGCTCACTGCAACCTTTGCTTTCCAGGTTCAAGTGATTCTCATGCCTCAGCCTCCTGAGTAGTTGGTAGTTGGGATTACAGGTGTGCACTAACACACCCAGCTAATTTTTGTATTTTTAGTAGAGATGGGGTTTCACCATGTTGGCCAGGCTGGTCTCGAACTCCTGGCCTCAGGTGATCTGCCTGCCTCAGCCTTCCAAAGTGCTGGGATTACAGGCGTGAGCCACTGCGCCTGGCTCCATCCTGTCTTCTGACATTTGTCCCAGCCCTGGGAAAAAAGGCAAAGCACACTGAGCATTTCCAAGTCACGCGGGGGGAAACTGAGGCTCTGAGAGGCTCTCAACCTATCAGGCTCTGGAGCAGGCTGCCTTCCTCTACCAATTCAAGTTTTGCCTTCACCGCTAGTCTCCTGAACCCTCACTTCTACTCACAGCTGGGTGACCTTGAGTAAGGTACTTCCCTGCTTGAGTCTCCAATTTTACAAGGATTGGTCTCAAAGGTCTCACTTGGCCTTTTTGGCCTTATCACTTCATTATTCTAGAACCCTTCTCCAGAATTTCAGAGAGAAAATGAAAGCTGAATTGCTCTGCAAACTATAAAGTGCTACACAAACAAGAAGGTGGTTAATGGCAGCATTAGATGGGTTTTCAGAAGTCTACCGTAGGCAGGATTTGCTGTGGGTTTTGGAATTAAGAAGACCCAGCTCACACATGTATTTGCGACGTTACTTTGGATAAGCCAGTTCCCCTCTCTGAACCAACTTCCCTCTTCTGTAAGCTGGCGGTAGAGGCATATCCACCAGGCAGGACTGGGGTGAGGACCAAAGGAAAGGAGCGTGCAATGTCTGCCACGCCCTGGCCGAGCAGAGGTGTTTGATGCAGGAGGAGATTTAGGGCCCCGACACATCATTCCACCTTCCAGGAGCTAAAATCCACACACCTGGGGAATGATGTAGCTGTCAGATTCAGGGCGATTAGAAACAAGCATCTGAACTAAGGCAATTGTTTGGAGCTCCAGAGACAGACTCTCTGGGCTTACATCCCAGCACCCCTGTCTGTTGCTATACCACCCACTGGGCCTCAGTCTCCTCATCTATAATATAAAGATCCTCCTGGAATCTGCCCCTTACAGCTGTCAGGAGGGCCTCCATTAGGCCATGACTGAAAGGGGCTGAGCACAGAAGATGGGCTCAGCTGGTCCAGCAGCCTCCACACTATTTTGACAATGGTATCAGTAGACACAGTAGTACACACGTGCACATGCATGCACACACTCACATACATCCACATATATGTGCATGCACACTCACCCACTCATACACCCATTCACATATATGTGTAAACTGAAACACATTTCTCAAAATAATAGTTTTCACACTTGCAATGCACTCTGATATATTCTAAAAAGGAGGTTGGCAAAAATCGCAGCCTCTGGACCAAATTTGGATGTTTTTGTGTTGCCTGTGAGCTAAGAAGAGTGGAGTACATGACAGATTGTATGTGGTTTGCAAGGCCTAAAGTATTTACTATCTGACCCTTCGCAAAAAATGTTTGCTGACCCCACTCTATTTTAGTCAGTGCTATTCCATTCCGTTCTGTTCCGTTCCATTCCATTCCGTTACCATTCCATTCCATTTCATTAGAAAATGCTGGCTATTGCTAAATTTATTGTCCTCACCTGCTGATGCATTGTAAACCTCAGCTTGGAAAACTTTAAACTAATGGGAGCTTCAGTTTTTTCACCAGATGGGAGGATGGATGAACAAACCGTATCCATGTGACACCTTAGCCAAGCAACCTCCCCTCTTTGTCTTGGATTCCTCGGCTGAGGCTGAGACCACCACCACCAGCCTGCTCTCAAGGGTGTGTTGAGGTGCAGCCTCAGAGGTCTTGTCCATGATGTTCTCATTGACGGATCTCAAGAGCCCAATAGTAAATACTTTAGGCTTTTTGCACCACATACGATCTGTTGCCTATTCCAGTATTCTTAGCTTGAAGGCCATACAAAAATAGTCCTGTGGCGGCAGAAATGGAGGAACACCCATCTCTGCTGTCCTTTTCAATACCCAGCCCAGGGCCTGGCCCACAGGAAGGACCCAATAAGTATTTCTTCATGGTGATGGTGACTGGAGAGTGGCACCCAAGGCCCTCCATGACGGGACTCTGGCCCAATCTGCAATCAGAACTTCACTTCCTTCGGCCACGCAGTCCCTTGTCCCCTCCACCTGGCCACACTCTCTCCTCATCCTGCAGAGGTCCTCACCTTACTGCCACCTCTGCCTGACAAAATCCTAAATCCTACTCCCCCCGATGGGGTTCCTCTCAGACACTTACACCTTGCAGCCCTGGCAAATCACTGGCATGATTCATTTCTATATCTATTGCACGGGCTTCGGAGCCTCCAAAACTCTGGGTCCAGGTCCTGGCTCAGCAGCTGTGAGCTCTTTGGCAGGCCATTGATGCTTTCTGAGCCTCAGTTCCCGTGTCTGGGAAATAGGCATAACACAAGGCAGTGGCAGAGTGAGGACGCGCAGCCCCACCTGCACAGCTCCTGGCACATGGCCCGCCTCCCTCCTTCCTCAGTGGCCTCAATCTCAGTGGCCTGAATCTCCTTCAGTGGCTGGGCAGGGGGGTTGGATGGTTTCCGTCCACAGGAGAGGGAGGTGGGGCCCCCCGTGGTGGGGCAATGGGATGGAAAAGCAGCATCTCTTTTGCACCCAGGCTTGGCTTCAGAACGCTGAGTGGAAGAAGGATGGCAAATGGAGCTCAATTGATTGACCACCTACTATCTGCCAAGCATTCAGATTTCCATTTCTCAACCAGCCCCTATGCTATGAAGAAACCGAAGCCGAGAGACCCAAGGTTACATTCTATTAAGACTCAGCGCCATTCCCTCAGCCCTCAATGTCCAGTCATTACCCACCCCTGCCCTGTAGGAATCCCTTTCAGAACTACCCCTGCATCTAAACCTGGCTTCACCTGGATGCCAGCACTCAGGGGACATACTTTGTTCGTGCCCAGCGATGGCGCCTGCTTGCCCAGGGCCTGGTGCATCTGTCTGTGTACAGGAGACAGTGCTGTCTGCCTGGCCCTCCACAAGGGGCTTTGCAATTTAAACGGAAGCATCATATTCACTCCACATAACAGGCCTCTGGAGTGGGCACTGCCACAGTCAATTTACAATAAAGAAAAACAAGCTCAGAGAGAGGAGAAGGTTTGCTCCGGATGCACCACAAGCAAGAGGCAGAGGTGAGCTTAACCCACGTGAGACCCCACTCCCTTCCGGTCCAGGGCATGTCTGCTCTGCTGTAAAATGGGAAGGGAAAGTGGTCAAATCCTTATGAAGCCCCTACTGTGTGCCTTTGGCCCCCTTCCCTCTTGGACTGCAGTAAATCTTCCCAATTGCTCAGAGAGGTAGGTGTAAGTTTTCCCATTTCACAGATGGGGAAGCACGGACGGGAGAAGGCATGTGGCCTGCTTAATGTCACATATCTAGGGCAGGAGAGGGCTCAAGGTTTGATCCCAGGGCTCTTCACTTTGCCCCTTGCTTGCTCAGGTCTAGAAAGATCCAGAAGCTCCATGTGAATGTGGGGGTCCCTCCCCAGAAGGCCTTGGATGTCAGGGAAAGTCAGTCACAGGCTGGCATCTCCTCCTTGCCCAAATGGACCTCCAGATCTAGGGATGCGAACCAGGGCCCCCTCACTCTGCCCTACTGTCCCATTGCCAGGACACCCCAGCATGTTTCAAAAAAATGTCCCCATCTGGTTCTGATTCATTTACACTTCATTAATCAACATGCTGTTTTGTAAGAGACACTTGAGATCCAAGAATCTTTCTCAAGTCTTTTACTTCATTCTTTCTTAGAAACAGAAAAATTGGGCTTCATTAAGACGCAGTGACGCCGGAGCCTGAGGAAGGATGGGCCTGTGGGAACCAGGCCTCAAGCAGGCTCAGAGAGGGCAGATGCCAGCCCAGCACCTCATTCCTCGGGATTGTGCAGACCTGGCCAAACGCTAAGGCCAAAGACTCAGGCATGGGGGAGGCTGGAGAAAGGTGGGAAAGGGTCATCCCTCTATGTTGGCAGCTCCCCAAGGACAGGCCCAGGGCTGCTCACCTGGGTATCTCCAAGGTCCCCAACACAGAGCCTGGCACAGAGGCTGCCCTGTGAAATGAACAAGTGAATGAATGAAGCACTGCCAATACCCAGGTGTTTTCAGGACACATTCTCCTGCCAAAGTTAGATAAGGTCAAAGCTGGTAGGACCCTGAGGGATTGTGTACAGAATTTTCCAAGCAGATGCCTTATGAGAAATGGTCTCTGATGTGTAATATGTTTGGGAAAGGTCACTCTCTCTCGCTCTCTTTTTTTTTTTTTTTTTTTGAGACAGGGTCTGCTCTGTCGCCCAGGCTGGGGTGCAGTGGCACAATCACGGCTCACTGCAGCCTTGATGTCTTTCCTGGGCTGAAGCGATCCTCCCACTTCGGCTTCCTAAGTAGCTGGGACTACAGGTGTGCACCACCACCAACATGCCTGGCTATTTTTTGTATTTTTTTATAGAGACAAAAAATGTATTTTTTGTAGAGTTTTGCCATGTTGCCCAGGCTGGTCTCGAACTCCTGAGCTCAAGCTATCCTCCCATCTTGGCCTCCCAAAGTGCCAGGATTATAGGCTTGAGCCATCGCACCTGGGTTACACTGTCTGTCTCCACCTCTTCAGCATGCTCTGATAAGTCTCACAGCCAAGAAATCTGCTAAACCCAGCATTTCCCAATCTATTTGACCAGAACTCCTGTGGCTGCCTTGCAAAATATGCTACAGGAAGGGTTTATCTAGCTCTGGTCCCCACTGCAGTGCCAGTGGGAAACTGAGGCTATGGGCGGGGGACAGAGAAAATCCACTCACCCAAGGTCACATGATACAACTGGGTCAGGGGTGTGACTGAAATCCAAGGCTATCTCCATTGTACCCCAACAAATAAATGGAGCCCTAAGCCTCTTCTGAAGATGCTAGGCAGGTGTGTGTCCCAGAGGCAAGAGATCAGGTACTGGAGGAGGGATGCTGAGAGCCCCTCACCAAATTGCGGCCATATCCCTACCTCCTCACTGAGCTCCTGGGGAGGTGGTGGTGAGCTGTAGATGGGGCGGGGGGCAAAAGGGGCAGGATAGGAATTTTTCATTTTTCTTTAATTTTTTTGTCTTTTTTGAGCTGAGAAGCATCTTAAAGTCTTCTAAACCAGCTCCTTTTTGTTGTTGTTGTTGTTGTTGAGACAGAGTCTCACTCTGACACCCAGGCTGGAGTGCAGTGGCATGATCTCGGCTCACTGCAACCTCTGCCTCCTGGGTTCAAGCGACTCTCCTGCCTCAGCCTCCCAAGTAGCTGGAATTACAGGCGCCCGCCACCACACCCAGCTAATCATTGTATTTTTAGTAAAGACAGGGTTTCATCATGTTAGCCAGGCTGGTCTCAAACTCCTGATCTCAAATGATCCGCCTGCCTTGGCCTCCCAAAGTGCTGGTATTACAGGCGTGAGCCACCACACCTGGCCTAAACCAGCTCCTCTTTAGATGAGGAAACTGAGGCTCTGAGAAGGGAAGACCAGCACACCTCAGAAGATATCTTCTCAGCATTATGTCAGGCAGATTGGGATTCGAGCCTGCTTTGCTACTCACCTGCTGTGCGACCTTGGACAAGTCAGTTTCCTTCTCTGAACCTCAGTTCCCTCATCCAGAAAACAAGCATCTCTCCCCTCCCTCCACTAAGCCACTGTGAGTAGCCAAAGACACAGTGGACAGGAAATGAGAATGATTAATACTTACGAGCACCCATTAGGAGCCTGTGTCCTTAGCTACTCATCTTGCCCACAATCCTCCTTATGAGCAGGATACTTAAGTAAAAGATGGGTTGATGAAGGGAAAGGGGGTTTGTTTGATTTTTTGGTATTGTTTAGAATGGAGAAAGATCTCAGAGATCTTCTAAAGGACCCTCAGATGGGTAAAGTGAGGATTGGACAGGCAAAGTGACTTATCCAAAGTCACTCAGTTGGTAACTGGGGAAGCTGGGATTTGAACTCAGTTGACCTGGCTCCAGAGCCCATGCCCCTAACTACTAAACAAAGGCCATTCACAAAGGAGTGTCCCCATAGAGTCCCAAACTCACCCCAGCTCAGCTGAAAACCACACGCCTCTCTAGTCCCTTGTCCCACTGTCACAGCAAGAACTGGAGCCTCTTGGGCCACAGTCTCCCCAACCCCATCCAATCCCACCTCCCAATTCTCCCACAGCCTCTGTCTGCTTCCTGCTCCGTTCCAGGAGTGACTGTGTCGCTGTAGGGCTTTCACACAAATGGAAGGCCCCAGAGGGCAACCCATCCTCTCTCATTTTCCTTCCCCTTTATCCTTGCTCAGACCCGATGCCAGGGCTGGAAAGAGAGAAGACACCAGCTGGACAATTCAGCAGTTATTTAAACCAGTCTGAGCCTTGGAATCCCAGGCTTTATTAAAACTGGACGACCCCTATGTCATGAGCATATAGTTGGGATTTGATGAGCTAGGACATGAAAAACCCGTGGCATAGTGGCTGGCATTCGGCTGCTGATCTTAAGAGTGGCACCTGGAGGCCAAAGGGCTGCCCAGCTCAGGCAGGCGATTTGCTCACTTGCTCACCCGCTTACCCTTCTCTGAGGCACAGGCTCTACCAACTCCTGCTCTGCAGGGACAGCCTCCAACCCACCTTCTGAGGATGTTCTGACTCTCACAGCGAGGCTGTGGCATAGGACTCCCAGGTGAGAGCGCATGCGGCCCCTGGTACATTTATAATCTGAACCTTGGCTCATCTTCCTAGTGGCCTGAGAGGTGAAGATGGAAAAGCTGAGGCTCTCTGAGGGGCTGGACTTCTTCTAGGTCATCCCCTATTAGAATAAGTGAACCTGAACTCAGGTCTCAGGTCTGGCTGAACTCAACATAGGGGGGCCATGGAGGATCACTGCCCTCTGGGAGGTGACACCAGGAGTCAGGGTGAGTGATGAGGCTGGGACTGGGGCCTCTGGACGCCCAGCCCAAGGCTCTCTATGTCACTTCCTGGCCGAGCATGGATGCTTGGAATGGCTTCTACGCCACTGAGTCTGTCTCCTAGTCCCTGTGCCCCGCAGGCTGGCTCTTGAGTCTTCTGTCTCTGCACGAAGCCATCCTCCTTTCTGCTGACCATGCGGCTACTACAGAGAGCCCTGCTACCCTCTCCCTTCTGGGTGAGTCTCCTTGGCCCACCCTACTCAATGGCTCGCTCACTGGGTGCCCTGGAGCCTCAATCTCCCCATCTTAAGTGAGGTTGAGACTCGTCTGGAGGAGCGAAGGACCCAGGGCGCCAGGCACCAGGCAGATGCCCCCAGAGCCGCCGCCCCCGGTCCTCCGGCCCCCGGTCTGCCCCGCAGCGCCTGCCCGGCCGCCCTGCCCAGCCACCCCTTGTACCTTGCTTCTTCCTTCGGTTCAGGGCGAGCATGTCCACGGCGTGGGCGACGAGCAGGAGCAGGCAGAGTGGCGCCCGCATCTGGGCAGCCGGATCCGGGCTGGCGCTCCCCAGGCGGCCCGACGGCCCAAGGGCCCCACGTCCCGGCGGCGGCACGGCGGGCGCGGGGGCTGCTGTGGGCGCGCCGGGCGCATCCGCCAGGCGCGGGTCGGTCCGGCCGCCAGGTCTAGTGAGGGCGTTGGCGGAGCCGGGGCACTGCCCTGGCGGGGAGGAGCCGGCGCGGCGGGGGCGGCGCGTTAACCAGCTCGGGGCCCGGGAGCGCGCGCGGGGAGGGGGCGGGGGTCACCCGGGTCGGGGCCCTCGAGTTCGATCTGTCCCGCAGCCGGCGGTCTTGCGTCTTTCCCGCCCCCAGCACTGCCCCCGAGCACGTGCACGTGCCCACCGCCAGCCACAGGTACGCACGCGCGCGCAGGTACAGATGCGCGGACACCCGGAGACCCGTACGGTCCCCCGCGCCCTCTCAGCGCCTGTGATTTTCTTTCCCTCCCCCCAGTCCCCTTTCTCTGTCTGTTCCTCCTTCTGGCCCTTAAGGACAACTCCTTGTCTCCTGCTTTCTCGGTCTTTCCGCGGCCCGCGCTCCCCTGCTCTGCCCCCGACCCTGCCTGGCTGTTCCTGCATCCTTTACTCTTGCCGGCCGTCTCTCTCTCAGGCTCACTGTCTGTGTCCTCCTGGCTGGGCCTCTGGTTCTCCCTTTTCTCTGTCTCTCCCTTCAACCCCATCTCTCCCCTTCTCCCCTCCTGCAGGGTGGGGTGTTTGCGGGGCTCCTGCTGCCTGGCTTTCTCTTTTTCTCTCTACTCTGTCTCATTCTTTTAACAGAGGCCTGAGCCCCTTCTGGCCACTAACCCTGAATGTTTCCTGTGCAGTCTGCGGGGATCATCTACTCCGACTCAAAGTGACCAGCACCTCATAAATCCACTTGTGACAGGGCTGGGGACCTGGACTGTGTTTCCTCCAACCTTATCACCAGGACTGGGAGCAGCTGGTTCAAGTTTAACCCTTTCAGAGCAAAATTCCTCCTTCAACCCGACAGCATGCTCACCTCTCCTGTCACTATAACCACCAAAAACAACAACAATCATGCTAGCTATCATTTGTGAGGCATATATGGTGGGCATTGCTAAGAACTTGACATATACTAGAGTCTTCAAAACAACCCAATGGTTTGGGTTTGTATTCTGAGTAATTCCACTTTTCTGGGGAGCAAAGGGAAGCTCAGAGAGGCCAAGTGACTTGCCCAAGGCCACACAGCAGGTCAGTGGCCATTCTGGTCCAGTGCCTGCCCCTCTTAGCCACTTCTCAGGCACAGACTCATCAGAATGGAAGAGGCCTTGGAGGGAGGCCTAGAGAAACTTACAGTTGACACTCTCTTGCTGAACAATTGTCCTTCCTTTTTCTTTTCTTTTTTTTTTCTTTTTTTTGAGATGGGTTTTCACTCTGTCACCCAGGCTGGAGTGCAATGGCGCCATCTCGGCTCACTGCAACCTCTGCCTCCTGGGTTCAAGTGATTCTCCTGCCTCAGCCTCCCAAGTAGCTGGGATTACAGGCACCTGCCACCACACCCAGCTAATTTTTGTAGTTTTTAGTAGAGACGGGGTTTCACCATGTTGGCCAGGCTGGTCTTGAACTCCTGACCTCAAGTGATCCACCTGCCTCAGCCTCCCAAAGTGCTGGGACTACAGACGTGAGCCACCCCACCCAGCCTGTCCTCTTTTTTCCTACATGTGGAGCTTGCTCCAAAAGAAATGGAAGGTAAATGCTGGTATCTCCTCCAGCTCCTTCTCCCAGTGCAATGAGGGACACTTGAAGGCATGGCAGGGGCAGGGGAAACACACAGAGAGTGTGGCAGCTGAAGGTACAGCCCTGGCCTGGCCATTCTTTCTGTGGGGCCCCAAGAACGCTGGCAGACAACACGGAGAACTTGGTGGAATGTCAGAGACAGCCCACCCAAAGTGCTCCATTTCACAGATGAGGCCACTGAGCCTTCAGGACTGGGGGGTGCCTAGATTAGGCCACCCAGTGAGTCAAGGACTGAGCTGACATGGGCATCCAGGTGTCCCATTGTGGTCATCACCATGGCCTGCAAGGACCTCTTGTTCTGATATCTCTGATCTCAGTCTTTCCCACTGCCCCACCCCTCTCTCTTTAGCCTTAGAGATTTCAGCCCTTGAATATTTCACAAACACCACAGGCCTCTCACACCTCTGAGCTTTTCATGTTGTGGGGCCTCTCCATGGAATACCATCCTATATCCTACCTCCTTCTTCACTGCCTCTGCTCCAGGAAGCCTTCCCTGATTCTCAGGCCAGGTCCAGTGCCTCCTCTGGGCATCCACAATCTCTTTATCACAGCTCTGATCACATCAGGTGGTAACAATGGATGTGTCTGTTCTCCTTCCAAACTGCCATCTCTTTCAAGCCAGAGCCAGACACACAGCGGTGCTCAGAATGTTTGCATAATGAGTGCATAAATAAATGAATGGTGAATGAATGAATTCTCCAGATGCACAAGTCTCCCAGCCTGTACATGGAATGCAGGTACTTGGAGAAATGAGGTGACCCCAGAAGATCAAGCCTTAGGAAAGCGGAGGTCATTCCCTTCCCCACTACCCCCAGTACTGGAGTCTCCAAAGTCCAAAGGGGACAGCTTCCATGTGAGCAGGGCCAGAGAGGTCCAATGTGCATTGTGAATTGACAGCCAGCCACACGGCTCTGCAGGATGAAGCTGCTTACCCCTTCTTGAATTTTTTCCCCTATTTATTCCCCACTGCCTCTGCTCTAGCTAGCCTCGTGTTTCTCAGACTCTTGTCACTCATCCTGCGGTTTTTGCTGTTCTCTCTGCCTGGAAAGTCTTTCCCCAGATTTGGGGCTTGTCTCCCCTCGATGTTGCCTCCTCAGAGAGGCCCCCTGTGACCACTCCAGTAAAACGCACCACCATGCACTTTATCCTCTTGTCTTGCTTTACCCTCCGTAGTACCTGTTCATGTCTGTCAGTTCCTGTTTGCTTGTTTGTGAGTTCCATGAGGACAGGAATCTTCTATTTTGTCCCTATGTGCCTTACACTGCAGTGATTAAGACATACTTGTGGAATGGATTTTTTTAAAAAATGAGTGAATGAATAAGCACTCATTCATCCATAGATTCATTGTGGGACCTCAAGTACTTTCTGTTCTCTTAGGCTCAATTTCCCCAGTTGTTCAATGGCACAGATGGGATTTTGTGTTCTGTGAGAGCCCCTTTAGTGCTTCCAGAATTGGATATTTCTAGGGTTCTAAGGCCCAGAACTCAGGGCCCTTCATACCCCAAGATGCTCAGAGGGTGTTTGGTTCTCTAACTATGGGGGCTGTCTGGGCATCTTGGCCTGTTATCCAGTTCCCCTACCCCAATACAGGTGCCCAGGGAGGCTAGTGATGCTGATGGCATGCTCTGGCGGGGGGCGGGGAGGGGTGCACCCAAGGGTGTCAGTTAAGGCACCATTGTCACAAATAGATGAAGACAGGTATAATGGCTGAAACACACTAAGCTCACAGCATGTGTTCCTGATCAGCAGATCCTTCTCTGTGGGATAGCAGGAACTCAGATTCCTTTCAGCTTGTGTTCTGCCCTGTTCAGTACCTGGTTTAAAGCTCACCGAGAAGGGCAGGGCTTATGGGAAGTACAGAGCCTGTCTACCTATGTCCCATTGGCCAGAACTCAGACACACGGCCACACCTACCTGCAAGGGTGACTGGGAAATGTAGTCCAGCCATGTGCCAGACAACACACAGGAGGAAAAGCAAGAATTTGGTGAACATCTGGCCCATTGACCAACGTTGGGCCACCCTCATTTCTTGCCCCAGTCATGCAGTAGCTCCTTCCTGTGTCTGCTCTGACCCCTACAAGCTCTTCTTAAGCAGCCAGAGGACATGTATTATTCATCGGGTGAAGACCAAATTTCTCCTCAGAGATGCAAGGGCTACGTGATGGCCCCTACTAGGGGGCCATCTGCTAGGGTGACCAGCTGTCTGGTTTGCCAGGGATTGAGGGGCTTCCTAGGATGCAACGTTGACCTGTGTGTAGCCTTGTATAATACAACCACAATCAAGATATTTAAACATACTTAAACAAGATACTAAAACATCATCACAAGACTCCTTCATGGTATCCATTTATGGCTCCACCCTCCCTCTCCACTTCCAGTCCTAATCCCTAGCAACCGCTAATCTGTTCTCCATCTCTGTAATGTTTTATTTTTTGAGACAGGGTCTTGCTGTGTCACCCAGGCTGAAGTGCAGTGGCACGATCATGGCTCACTGCAGCCTTGACCTCCTGGGCTAAAGCTTCTCCTGCCTCAGCTGTGTAGCCTGGACTACAGGTGCATGCCACCATGGCTGGCTAATTTTTTATTTTTTGCAGAGGTGAGGTTTCGCCATATTTCCCAGGCTGGTCTTGAACTCCTGGGCTCAAGTGATTCTTCCACCTCGGCTTCCCAAAGTGCTGGGATTATAGGTGTGAATCACCACGCCTGGCCTCCCATCTCTATAACTGTTTTTACATAAATATTGTATAATGGAGTCATGCAGTATGCATCTTTTTGAGATTTGGCTTTCTTCACTCAGCACAATTTGTTTGGAGATTCATTTTAGTTTTGCATGTATTAGTTATTTGCTTTTTACTGCTGAGTAGTATTCCACCGTATGAATGTAATATAGTTTGTTTAACCATTCACCCACTGAAGGACATTTGGGTATTTTCTAGTTTTTCATTATTAAGAATAAAGGTGCCATGCTCACTTGTGTATAGGTTTCTGTGTATCCTCTTTGGTGAAATGTCTGTGCATATCTTTCACACATTTTAAATTGGATTTTTACATTACTATTGTGTTTTAAGAGTTCTATGTATATATTCTATATAGAAGTTCTTTGTTGGTTACGTGATTTGCAAAGCGTGAGATTTATGTCAAGGTTCATTTTGTATTTTTGTTTATTTTTTTATGTTTTTGTTTGTTTATTTTTATGTTCGTTTTTAATTTTTGTTTATTTCGAGGTTCATTTTTTATTTTTCGTCTGCGGATGTCCAATTGCTCCAGTATGCTTTGATGTAAAAGCTTTATCAAAAATTAATTGGGCATATTGGCATGGATTTATTTTGGGGCTGTCTCCTGTATTCCATGGGCTATGTGTCTTTCTGTCTACCAATACTACACTGTACTGATTACTGTAACTATATAATAAATCTTGAAATTGGGTAGATGGATCCTTCCCACTTTATTCTTCTTTTTCAAAATTATTTTAGCTATTCTAGTTCCTCTGCCTTTTCATATATATTTTAGAATAATCTTGTTTATATCTACCAAGAATCTTGCTGTGAGTTTGATTAGAATTGCATTAAACATGTATATGAATTTGGGAAGAATTCACATCTTTACTATATTGAGTCTTTCAATCCAAAAACATAGTATGTCTCTCCATTTGTTTAGATCTTCTTTGACTTTTTTAAATAAATGTTTTGTCATTTTCAGCATACAACTCCTGTGCATGTTTTGTTAGATTTATACCTATTTCCTTTTTTCTCCCTTAGAAATTATACATGGTATTCTATTTTAAATTTTGCTGTCCGTGTGTTCATTGCTAGCAGATAGAAATACAACTGATGTTCGTGTGTTGATCTTGTATCCTAGCACCTTGCTGAACTCATATATTAGTTCTAGGAGTATTTTTGTAGATTTTTTTGGGTTTTGCAACATTGACAATCATATCAACTGCAAATAGCGACAGTTTTCTTTCCTTCTGATCTTGTGCCTTTTGTTTCCTTTACCTGCTTTATCAAACTTGCTAGAACTTCCAGCCATATGCCGAGTAAGTGTGATGAGCATAGACATCCTTGTTCTCAATCTTGCCTGGTTCCCAATCTTAGTGGGAAAGCATTCAGTCATTCACTATGACATTAGACTGTAGGACTTTTGTAGACACTCTATATCACCTTGAGGAAGATCCTCTCTATTGCTACTTTTCTGAGCATTTTTTAAAATTATGAATGGCTGTTGAATTTTGTCAAATGTTTTTCCTGCACATTGGTATAATCATTTAATGTTTATTCTTTAGTCTACTGATACGATGTATTACATTGATTGATTTTTAAGTATAAAACCAACCTTTCTTCAATGGAATAAGCCCCACTTGGCCATGGTGTACCATTCTCCATTATATACTGCTGAATTCTACCTACTAATATTTTGCTGAGGATTTTTGTGTCTAAATCCATTAAGAATATTGGTCTATATTTCTCTTTTTTGTTCTGTCTTTGTCTGGTTTTGGTAGCAGGGTAATGCCAGCCCCAGTAGCACCAGAAGAACAAGGCTTACTAGAATAGAATTGCAAGGGTTCCAGGCCAAGTGCGGTGGCCTATGCCTGTAATCCCAGCATTTTGGGAGGCTGAGGTGGGCGGATCACTTGAGGTCAGGAGTTCGAGACCAGCCTGGCCAACATGGTGAAACCCCATCTCTATTAAAAATACAAAAATTAGCCACGTGTGGTGGTGCATGCCAGTAATCCCAGCTACTTGGGAGGCTGAGGCAGGAGAATCACTTGAGCCCTGGAGGCAGAGGTTGCAGTGAGCCAAGATCGTGCCATTGCACTCCAGTCTGGGTGACAAGAGCAAGACTCCTCTCAAAAAAAAAAAATAAATAAATAATTGCAAGGGTTCCAACAAGTTTACTGTCATTGGACCTAAAGCCCACAAAAGTAAACGAGAACTCACATGCTACATTTAAACAGGGAAACTGCTGCCTGCTAAACTAAAGTATGAAATAAGACCTGAAGTTCCAACTGATGCTAATACTAAAATGACTCAGATGTTGAAATTGTCTGACAAGGATTTTAAAGCAGTCATCATAAAAATGCTTTGGCAAGGAATTATGAAATCTCTTGAAACAAATGAAAACAGAAAATCTCAGCAAAGAAATGGAAGTTATATAAAAGGATCAAACAGAAATTTTAGAAATGAAAAATACCATAACTGGGGGAAAAAACTTTGCTAATGGACTCATTAGTACAGTGGAGAAGTTCAGTGATGGACAAATACCCCAACTCTCTATTGAATGGGCAGGATGGCCGGACACATAAAACATGCCACGCTGTCTCCTGCCACAATTCCCCAGCCCTGCCATGCTGACTTCAGAGGGACTGAGCTTCAGTTGCCCACGGTGCTGTCTGGGTAACCTGTCCTTCATGGGCTGCCTGCCCTTCCTGTTTCACTCCTTATGCTCCATGCTATGCTTCTTGGGATCAATTCTCAAATCAATTTCTTGAACTCAAATCCTTGTCTCAGGGTTGGCTTCTGGCAACCCCAAACCAAGACTAATTCTTACTAATTCTCATGACAACCTATAAGGTATTACAGGTAAAACATGGAACAGCACCTAACCCAGAGTAAGTTCTCACTGGTAACTTTCATGATTGGTGCCTCAGTTTTGTTATGTATAAGACAGAGGCATCGAACCCCTCACCCTCTTCCTCTGGACTTCTTCTTGTTCTCCTCTTAAATCAAAATCTCTGCAAACCCACCTTTGTTCTTTGTTTTACCTGTTCTTTCCCAAGGGAAGGCAAACAGCCTTCTCCCTGTAGGATGCTCAGGCAGACAAAGGAGCTGCTTCAAGCCAGCGCCCCTCCCTCACCAACCCCAGTGGAATCCCAGCCTCCACAGTCAGTTGGGTTGTTGTTTTTTATAATACCAGTGTGAAATAAATTGAAAAATTACCCATAAAATACAGGTTTTCAGCAGCTGGCCTGAAATTTCTTTCCATAAACAAACAAGTTTAAAGAGATGCCTGATGCCACCCGCCAATCCCAAACTTTTATGTCCCCATGTGGCAGTGGGGTCTGCCGGGAGATTTGGCCTCCTGGGCAAAGGCAGGCTGCTGGGGGCCACAAGTCACCCCTAGGTCTTTGGGGCTGACTTGTACTTCTCAACCGTATCTGTCTGCTCCATGAAGAATCCCCCAGACTCATCCCTCATCCCCCAGCTCCTACACTCAGCATAGACTTGGGAGCCAAACTGCCTGGATTTGAATCAGAGATTTCCACTTATTCAGTGTGACTTCAAGCAAGTTACTTAATCTATCTCTGCCTCAGTTTCCCCAACTGATAATGCTGATAATAGTAGTACCTACTTCATAGGATTGTTTGTGGATTAAATTAGTTAAATATACATGAAGTTCTTAGGACATGGCACAAGACCATGCTGTATAACTGTTAGCTATTATTAGTCGTCCAGGAGGAAGAAAAACTAGGATGGAAGCTACAGCAGGAGGCCTAGTGACATTTTGATTTTCCCACAATAAGCTTTCTCTGGAGTTTCCTTCAGGGTGTTTACATAAATGCCTGTCCAACACTCTGCAGTTTGCAAAGCTTGCTACATCTGCTATCTCATTTGGATCAACATTTAAGCCATGGAAGGAGTTAGGACAGAGGTTGTGATTATCCCCATTACCCCTAGTTTACAGAAGAGGAAACTGAGGCCCAGTAGGTGAATTGACTTGCTCATGATCTCAAGAAGGGGTAGAGCCAGGACCCCATTTCTGTAGCTTGAGGATCCGGGACGCATCTTGATTCTTGTCACACACTGAAAGCAGGTCAGAGCCCTCCTGATCCTGCATCGCACACTGAAGCTTGAACCTCATCCTAGACCACAACATAACCCTGGTCTCAGGTGGGGCTCTGACCCCATGCTTGACCACAGACTGAAGCCCAGATTAAGCCTCAGTATCGGTTTGAGTCAGAACTCTGAATCTCGCTTCACACTAGGCCCTGACTCCAGCCTCAGACTGATTCCTGATCTTTGTTATAGGCTGAGTCCTAATCCAGGTCCCATATTGACTCATGATCGTGATTCCACACTGTGCCCTAACTCTGGCCCCAGACTGAGCCCCCAGTGGGAGCCTCTAACTTGGAACTCCATCTCTAACCCCATCTTGAATCTTTTGTATAAATCCAATTGCCCATCTTCCCCAGGCTTTGGTCCATCTACCTGAAAAACAGAGTAGGGAAGAAAGTGCTCAGCACCCTTTGGAGAAGGCCCAGGCACCAGAGCAGAATTTACAATCCACCACAGGAAGCAAGACCCTCATCTCATCTCCTGTGTTTGCAACTTCCTCCAACTCCACCCCAGCTGGGACAGCCTCAAAGACCCCAGTCCTCCTGACGCCAGAACTCTGAGGAGTTCTATTGTTTAGGTGGTTTTCGGTTTTGATTATTTAATACAGTCATTTCTGGTTTTATATTCACAGCTTTGGTCAGCTGGGATAGGGTTTTTCTTCTTCCTGTGGTTGAAGTTGTAACACTATTTCAAACAAAGGAAAAATTTTAAAAACAACAGTGAAAATATTTTCAAAATATGTTCACAATCAAGTTAATTTCTTGGTAATTGGCTGGGGAAGAGAAGGGAAGGACAAAGAGAGATTTTTCATAATGAAGGGACAGCAGTTCTCTGGTGGGCTGGGGGACAGCAGGGTGGGGGCCAGCCTTGGGTCTCAGTCTACACAAAGGTGGTAATGGGCTGGGGGAGATAGGGATTGGGAGCTGGACCCAGGACAGTGGATGAGAAAAGCCAAGGTCAGGCCTCTAAATGTCCCACTCTGGAGGGAGTTAGGACCCGGAGCCTATTTTTCTCTGTGTGCCCTTAATTCTGGGCCTCACTTTTTTCATCTGTGAAATGGATTCAATAACACCTGCCCAAGGAGGACTCTTGAAATTAAAAGACAAGGTGGCTGCAAAGCACCCAGCACAAGGCCTGACACTGAGGTGTACAAGTAATAGTAGTTGATGCCATCATTATTATTTGTATTCATGGTTTGCCAGCCCAGAGGCTGTAGAACCTGGTGGTACAGGGAAGCCTGAGTCAGACAACCTGGATTCAAGCCCCAGTTGTGCCACTTACTACTTATGTGACCTCCGGCAAGTTGCTGAGCCTCTCTGACCTTTGGTTTTCTCATCCATAAAATGGGGATAGTAACTGAGTTGTTGTGAGGATCGAATGCATGACTGCATGCAAAGCACTTAGAACTGTGCCTAGTGCATAGTCAGTGCCAAGTGTCAGCTACTACTATCTGCTCAAAAATATTTCATGCATACCTACTACTTGCAGGTTGTGAATTGATTGATTCTTTTTTCATTACTAAGCACTAACTGTGTGCCAGAGAGCAGTGAGAACCGAAGACACAGTAGCTTCTATCAAGGCCCTCATCGCCTGGTGGGAGACTGAGAAGGAAAGAAGGCAATGATGACAAGGTCAAGTAAGTTCTAAAATCCAGGCACAGGGGAGGAGCTGTGGGAGCCTAGGGGCAAGGCCAGAGAAGGGTTCACAGGAGTTAAACATTCATTCATTCAACAAGTATCTACTGAGCACTGGCCCAAGGCTGAGGATTCAGCCACCACCACCACAGGTCCACATCTGGCCTTCCTGGAGCTTGCAGCCTAGCCGGGGAGACAGGAACAATGAAGACACACACACTTAGATAACATGATGGTGGTGATGGTGAGTGCCGCGATGAAAACCAAAGCCAGGGGAGGGGATAGAGAATGACAGACATGGTCAGGGGAGGCTTCTCTGCAAGGTGAGCAGAGATTTGGATAAAGTGGGGGAACGAGTCCTGTGGAGGTCTGGGGAGGGCATTCCAGGTGGAGGGGCAGTAAATGCAGAGGCCCAGAGGCCTCTCCATGGGCTAACGAGGGAGGCAGAGGGAGGGAGGGAGTGGAGGGAGCAAGGGTATGTGTAGGAGGGAAGCAGGGCAGGAGTGGGAGCACAGTGACTCGCCTGCATGTATTCCCAAGGAGATGGGAAGGAGAGGCGAGCAGAGGGGTAAAGGAGAGGAAGCAGGAGCTGCCACTTTTGAGAAGCACTGAGAAGAGAAGCAGAGGTGGGTGGGGAGGGGGATGCAGGGCCAGGACTGGTGGGCAGGGGCCCTGCAAGCCCTGCTTACTGGAACGGGAGAAGGCTGGGGGAGGTGTTCCAACCTTCACAAGCCACAGGCAACCACCGAGTGACATTAGACAGGGAAGGGATGAGATCAGACCCTGGCATTAGAAAGGCTGGAGTTCTGGGTCCTTCATGCTCTCTCCCTTAATTCTTACAAGAACCCATTTCACAGGTGGGGAAAATAGAGGTCCCAGAGAGGTTCAGTGACTTGCTCCAGGTCACTCTGAAAGGACACAGATCTGGCTGCCTCCAGCTCCCCCTGCTCCTTGAGTTCCCTGCTGTCTTCCCTGGCCTCTGCCTCTGGGCCCAAGAACTCCCAGCCCTCAGCATCCATGGCCTCCCCCTGGCCCACGAAGTCCTCAGCCACCTCCTTCCTGGAGGGCTCAGCCAAAATCAGACTGAGGAAGAAGTGGTGGGCACCCACCTTCTGGCCTTCCTCAGCCCCTTATTCCTAGGACCAGTCCCCATCTAGGGGTCCTCACTGCCTCCCTGCAGCCCCTTGAAACTTCTGATCATTCAGCTCCTGGGATGTCCTGGGCAAAGTTATCCAGGCCCAGGTCCCTGGCTCGTGGCTCTCCTCTCATTCCCTCAGTGGGTGCCCTGCCCACACCAGGATTGCATTCACCATCCAGGTGCTTGCTGACTCGGGGGCAGGCTGAGTGCTGATGAGTTAATGCCCCCCAGGAGCACCCCTGAGTGGATGAGGATGGGAGTTGGTGGAAAAACATTTCAGTCCCCTCGCCCCTTGGGTGGGACAGTTCTGTTGCCAGAGTTCCCAGTGGGAGGGATGCCCAGTTGCCAACTTGATCCTTATCACACCTGTGCTTGCTTCTTTGGGACTGGCTTCCAGGGAATCTATTTGGACGGGAATTCTTGTTTCCAGGTCTGCCAAGATAACTGCCAAGCCTAGTCCATTCTACCTGCAAAATAGCTCTCCAACCCTTGCCTCTGTGACTGCCAGGTCTGCCGCAGCCTCCTGCATCTCTGTTTGTACTCGTGTAAAGGCCCCCCAAGCTGTCCTCTTGTTTTGCCCTTGCAGTCTACCCCTCCTCCCTCCCAAGGAGCCAAAGGGGTTGGGTTTTAAGGAAAACCTGACCATGGCTGCCTGCTGTTCTCAGGCTAAACAGCACCCCTGCAAGGCCCACAGGCAGCCCACCTAACCGTTTCTCTACATCTCTGCCCCAAGCCACACTGGTCACCTTCCCATTTTTCAAACACATCTACTTATCACCTTCTCAGGGCCTTTGCACTTGCTGTCTCCTCTGGATGGAACACTCCCAGTCTCCCATGGTTAGCTCATTCCAGGCTTCAGTTCAAATGTCACCTCCTCAAAGAGGCCTTCCCTGACCATGCGATGGAAACTCCCATCCTTCACCACTACGCTTGGCTTAGCCCTCTTAGCTTTGCTTCCTCTCCTTTGAACTGTTTCCCATGATCTGAACTAGCCTTGTTTGTTTGTTGTGATGACGATTGAGCCCCCCAAAGCAGAGAACTTGTCTGCACACACTGGGCATCTGGCTGGCTGCGGGTGTTGAGCTGTGAGATCGGCTATGTTCTTGCCCTGCTGCAGTTGACCGTCTGGTTGGACAGGGGCTGGAGGGATGAACCAGTTGTGGAAAATGCCACAAAGGAAGAGGAGTAACCGGCTGCAGGGAGAGTGGGAGGGCACACTCACTTGGGTGGGTGGATTCTGTGTAAGAACAGGGACCTACCAAGGTGGGCAGATCACTTGAGGTCAGGAGTTCAAGACCACCCTGGCCAACATGGTGAAACCCCGTCTCCACTAAAACTACAAAAACATTAGCTAGGCGTGGTGGGGCACGCCTGTGATCCCAGCTACACGGGAGACTGAGGCAGGAGAATCGCTTGAACCTAGAAGGCAGAGGTTGCAGTGAGCCGCGATCATGCCGCTGCCCTCCAGCCTGGGTGACAAGAGTGAAACTCTATCTCAAATAAATAAATAAATAAATAAATAAATAAATAAATAAATAAAATAAAGTGCGGCTGCATTTGCCTCCCAGGGCAGCCCAGGTGTAAGCTATACAGCTTGGTGGAATGTCTCCATGGCTTCTAGGGGATGGCCCAAGAGAGTTCCAAACACATCATATTCCAGTGAATGGGACTGGTCAGCCCACAGCCACATGGCCATGTCCAGCTGCAAGGGAGGCTGGGAAATGTAATATTCTGCAGGCCACCCATGTGCTCAGATAAAAATAAAGAGAATATTATTCAAGAGAAAGGGAGACAGAGTGTGGGGGATGACTGATGATCCTTGCCATAAGCATCAGCAGGAAACCACCAGCCCCCACTTCCCTGTTTCTGCATGTCTGTTATTTGGTCCTTCCTGTGTGTGATGGAGGGAAAGATGGCTGTGTGTGATGGAAAAAAAGATGGTCCTGAATGAGCCTGATTCCACTTCTGGGTTCCCACACCCTCTGGTAATTCCCTCCTTTCCCCCGTTTCTGCCCTGTATCTCCTACAGTGTCTCCAGCCCTCCTTCACTCCATTTCTCCCTCTCATCATAGACTGTCTTGGAAGTTCTGCCTACAAATGTGGCAGCTGCTGTCCCACTCTTCTCTCCATCCCCTCTGGAAGCCTGGCCTCTCCCCAACTTCCTGCTCTGTTCTGTAGCTCACTCAGCGAGGACCAGTCCCTCTCTGTCATGAGATCCACTTTTTCTCTCCAACCTCCCTGTGGGCCTCTGTCCTGTCAACATCCCTCCTGACACTCTCTGTGACATTTGACCACCTGCTGGAATCAAAGAATGTGGGCTCTGCAATCAGGCAGGACAGAAATGAAGATGCTTCCCCTTTCTCAGCCTCAATGATCTCATCTGTAAAATGGTGTGAAGAATGTCCACTAACTAATTGAAACAAATTTTTATTTGCAGCCATGACATACCATGCATTTAAGTAAGCCCATATGAGCACATCTGAAGGCAGTGATAATACAATCAATAATACTACTGGGAGTGCCTAGCTCTTACTGAGTGCTAAGCTCTTCAGCACGTCAGCTCAGAAATGTGGCCCCTCCCATGGCCCCGCCTGCACTCTTTTCTCCTTTTTTGCTTAACTTCCCTTTTGTTGCTTCTTTCTTGAGTCCATTTTTGGCTCTGTTCTCTCCTCATCTCTGCAGCTTTCCCAAATTCTTTTTTAAATTTTTATTTATTTATGTATGTATTTATTTTGAGACTGAGTTTCACTCTTGTTGCCCAGACTGGAGTGCAATAGCATGATCTCGGCTCACTGAAACCTCCACCTCTTGGGTTCAAGTGATTCTTCTGCCTCAGCCTCCCAAGTAGCTGGGATTACAGGCGCACACCACCCTGCTCAGCTAATTACTGTATTTTTAGTAGAGACAGGGTTTCATCATGTTGGCCAGGCTGGTCTCTAACTCCTAACCTCAGGTGATCCACTCGCCTCAGCTTCCCAAAGTGCTGGGATTACAGGCATGAGATACCACATCCAGCCAGCTCTCCCAAATCCTTTTCCCAGCTCTGACATGTTGCCACACTTCATCTACCTGGCTGGACACCTCCACTTGAAGTCCTGTGGACATCTCAAACCCAGGGTGTCTAAAATAGAACTCAGCCTCTTCCCCTGCAGGCTTCCAACTCTGGAAAGGGCCCAACCACCTACCCGCTGGGTCTGTGAGCCAGGCCTTCCTCTCAGGCCCCTCCTCTCTTCCCCTGGCCCCAGCCTCCTTCCCCACTTCCCCACCCTTCCCCACCCCAATGCACATACAGTTGCTCAATTGCTAGTCCTCACATACTGCATTGTGTCACCCCACCTGGTCATTGTCCTGCCCATGTCCTCTCAGCACTCACCTTTCCATGTCCAAGGAGTCTTCTGCAAACATCTGCAACTGTCTGAAGCCAAGGTGCTGGAGAACTAAGAGAGAGTCCCCAAGCAGCCCTCAGCCAATGACCGATGGGAGGTGGTGGATAAATACCAGCCCCCTGCCCTGAGTTGGGAGACCTGAGGTGTGCTCTTCACTGTCTCAAGAGGACCTCAATGGGGCTGAGCTCCCGTTGCCCATATTAGCAATTCACTTATTATGCATCAGTGGCTTCAGTGGTTTACTGCAGTGTCTTCATTGTCTCTGGGCCACATAATTTTATGGAAGTCACAGCCCTTCTCTCTAAAGTCCATCTATGAAGCCACTTTACCTCTGTTTGAGAAGCACTGGTCTCCAGGATGACATCTATACCCCTTACCTGGCATTCAAGGTCAACCTGCTGACTCCACCATGTGTCTACCCTTCCATGCTTTGCTCATGCTCTTCCCTCCTGCCTGAAATATTCATCACTTTGCTTAATGCTTGTCTGAGTTGCACCTATCCTTCAAGACTCAGCTCAAGTTCACTTCCTCCGGGAAGCCTTTCAGACCACATTAATCCTTCGAGTGTTCCCCACAGCCCCAAGAATCTGCTCCCCACATGTGGCACAAATAGTGCCTTGGGTCTTACCTGGTTTGTTCCTTCAGCAAACCAAGGTTAAGTTAGCATTTTCTCTGTGCAAGGCCCTGAGAGCTGGGAGAGCTGGAGACATGAGGTGAGTCAACACAGACCCTGCTCTGAGGTCTGGGCAGTCCAGTCGAAAGACGTCCAGGACATGGGGTTGGGCATTCCAGGCAAGACCATCAACTCTACGAGGAAAGGGATGATTTTAATTCACTATGAGAAATGAGTGAATCATTTATTTTCTTAGCTTAAAACAGGGGGTGGACAAGAGACTGACTCTGGCCCACCATCTGTTTTTATAAATAAAGTTTTATTGAAACACAACTATATTTCTTCATGTATCACCTATGGCCTTTACACTACAATGTACGAGTAATTGTGAAAGAGACCACGTGGACCACAAACACTAAAATATTTACTGTTTGGACCCTTATAGAAGTTCCCTGGCCCTGGCTTGAAACACTAATACTTGTTTATTATTTCACACAGTTTCTGAAGGCCAGAAATTTGGGAGTGGTTTAGCTGGGTGGTTCTGGCTGAGGGTGTCTCAGGAGGTTGCAGTCCGCAGGGCTGTCTGAGTCTCATCATAACACAGCAGCTGGTTTCCCCAGTGAAGACTTCCATGCTAGGCACCTCACACACAGCCTCATTTAATCCTCATAAACATCCTTAAAGGACAGCTATGATTATTACCTACATTTCTCAGCTGAGGAAACCAGAGCTCAGAGAGAGGAAGTTATTTCCCTAAGGCAAGGACAGACCTAGGACTGGAGCTCAGGTTCCTCTGCCTCCAAAGCCCCGCTCCTAACCACTGGGCTGTCCTTCTGAGCACCACGGGGTCCCAGCAAATGATCTGTGGCTGGGGATCCAGGATCATTGTGATTTGACTCAGATGTCCCTTTGCCAGGGATATGGTCCTACTCTCCCTCCAGTTACCTGCTCCACAGGTGGGGTCCACCTTCTTTCAGACCCTCTATCAAGTGAGTCAATGGTACTGTCCAATTCCTTCCCAATATCTTTGCCATCCACCCCCACTCTTTTCCAGCCCCACTGCTTCGGTCTTACCTCTGGCCGTCTGGGCTCCCATCTAGAGACAAAGTCAGGGGAGGTGATGCTTTCTGCTGATATTCCTTGATTTTTTCCACCTGATTCACTTTCAGCTCTCCTCTGCCCATCCTCTCAGAAGATGGATATGCAAAAAATGACCCCAGAGCCATAGGAAGGCCCCAAATGCATCCCAAAGTACTGCAGATGATACCTCCTGATCAAGCCCTGCTGCTAATCAATCAATAGAATTAATATAATTATACAATTTCATTTATTCAGCCTTCTACCTTCACAAATGCCTGGACCTTGGTTTCAGGTAAACTGGCTCGAGTTCCTGCTTGGTCTTTGCCAACATGTGTCCATGGGCAGGTCTTAGTCTTTCCTTTGGCCTCAGCCTCCTCATCTCAGGATTGCTAGAGGGGGTTAAAGGACATTGCATTGTAATTTGCTTGTTTTCACACTTGGTACATAATACTTGCTAGAACCATGATGCAAAGAGCAGTCAGTCCGCATGCTTATAAGGGAAGCAAAGATGTTCAGCATTATAGAATGCATGGCTAACATGGCCCCAAGATGGTCCAATGGAAAGCTCTTCTTCTAATCAAATAGTGAACAATCCAGGAATAACCAAAGAAAAAGTTCATCTTATTATTTGTTTTCACAGCAGCTCCATGAGGCAGAATTAATTTTGTGTGTTTTGCAGATACGGGAACAGTAGGTGAGAGCATGAGTAACTCAGCTCAGGTCACACAGCAGGTGGGAGAGAACTGGAACAAGAACCCAGTGCTCTTTCTGCTCTACCCACTGACCCATCCTCTCACGCATCATACACCCATACTCCCATCCACCCACCTTCCCATTCATGCATTCACCCATTCACCCACCTTCCATCCATCTACCATCCACCACGTACCTACACTCCCATCTACCATCCAACCACATTTCCATTCACCCATCCTCCCATCCATCAACCCTCCAATCCACCACCCACAGACCTTCCCATCCATTCATTTACCCATCCACATATTCACCCACCCTCCCATCCATCCATCTACTGTCTATCACCTACTCATTTTCCCATCTGCTATTCACCCCCACCCTCCTATCCATCCATTCAACCATCCACCCACCCTCCCATCCAATCATCCACTGTCCCAACCATCCACCATCTACCCATCTATCCACCACTCACCCTTTCTTTCATTCACTCATCCTCCCATCCTCCCATCCACCATCCACCCTCCACCCACCCTCCCATCCAATCATCCACTGTCCCAACCATCCACCATCTACCCACCTATCCACCACTCACCCTTTCTTTCATTCACTCATCCTCCCATCCTCCCATCCACCATCCACCCTCCACCCATTTATTTGACAGTTGCTGAGAGCCTACTAACCACCAATCACTATTCCAGGCACTGAGATATGACTTTGAGCTAGACAAAGTCTTGCTTCATGGAGCTCACATTTTGGCTGTGAATGGCAGCAACAGACAAATAAATACGTAGTTTACGTGAGGTACTGCAAAGAAAAAATAAAGCAGGGGAGTGATGTCAGGAGTAACTAAGGCAGGATGGTAGTCAGGGAGGTCGTCTCTGAAACGGGACATTTGAGCAGAAGCCTGAAGGAAGTGAGCTCCCTGACAACTTGGGAGAAGAGAATTTCAGGCAGAGAGAACAGTTGTACAAAGGCCCAGTGGTAGGAATAGAAACAGCTTGATGGGATTAAGAATCAACAAAAAGGTCATTATGGATGAAGCAGAATGAGGGAGGAAACCCAAGCCAGCTCGGGCTTGATCATGGCAGGCTTTGTCAGTCACTGTGAGTAACCAGACTTTATTTCAAGTGAGTTGGCCAACAGTGTCTCCCCAGTAGTAGAGTGATTGCTCGTCTGCCAGAAAAGGGGCACAGAGCTCTGGACATCAATACTTGCCGATCTCTCCTTCATCAGCCACCCAACCCTGGCAACAGTTTTCAATTACACCTGTGAAAACTTGTGGGTTAAACAGCTGAGATCCATGCCTCAGCTTCTATAGGTGATAAGCCTGTCCTTCCTTAGGTAAAGAAAGGAAGGGGCGAACCGTCAGTGAGCACCATTCACATACCTTAGCCGGTTCAGCTTCACCACCCTCTGAAGGTGCCATCAGCAGCTCCCTTTTGCTGAAGAGTAAGCGGAGGCCCAGAGAGGTCATGTGGTGTGTGCTTGAGGTCACATGGCTGAGAGGTGGCACCAGATTTGCCCAACTCTCAAGTCCCATAGTCTAACGTTTCACTCCACTCAGATTCAACCTCCCAAGAAATTATTTGTTTGAGTACCTACTAGGCACCAGACTCAGAGTGAGAGGCAGTTGCAGATTCACTCAGGGCCAGTTTTGGAGGCCAGCTTCACAATCACCCAGCACAGCCCATCTTTCTACTTGTGAGGAAACAGAGGCTCAGTGAAGGAATGCCTTTCAGATCACAGAGAGGATGAAGCCAGGATATTCAAACCCAGCTTATTTTACTACAACTCTATATGGTAGGAAAGAGAAAAGCGCCCATACAATTTCAGTGGCTTGACGTGGAGCCTGGCAACAGATGTGTTCTTGGACTGTTGGCTATAAGACAAACCAGCTTTCCCCACTGACTGTCACCGTGTTTTGGGAGACAAAGCCTAGGACTTTGGTGTGTCCACCGTGGGTCAATAAATGCCCCCAAACAAGCATATCTTGCAAAAGTGGGGACTTATTAATTCATTGATTCGTTTCTTGATTGATCAATTGATTTATATGTCCCTGTTGGACAAAGGGTTTGAGGCAGCCTGGGAAGGAAGTGAAGTGTGGAAACTGGTCATCTTCTGTGCTTCTTACATTCCACTCATTGGGAACATCAAAAAATGAAAAAAAAATCCAGCTGCTACATAGCTGGGGAACAAATTCTTGGTATGGAAGTAATTCTGCTAAGGCTAGCCTCCTCAGAGTAATTCCAAATGCTTTTCCTATTTTCAAATTTAATTAGGAGACATTTCTGTAGTGTGAGTCATCATTTAATAATGGGGGGTGTTTATTAGGGAATGAGTGGAAAGAGAACAGGACAGCTGGATAATTCAAATCCCAGTTCTTCAAGTCTCTGGCTGTGTGATCTTGGGTGAGCCACTTCACCTCTCTGAACATCAGTTTTCTTGTCTTTAAATTGATATTTACCTGGCAAGGTTTGGGGAAGGTCTCAACTAGATTATGTACATAACAAGCTTGCCAGTGTTAGTACATAATAGGTGTTTAATAAATATTAACTGCCTTCTCTTCCCATTTATTTTCTTATTTGGTCTTCTAAACAACCTTGGGGACCATGATAGGTATGTTGTTTGCTTTCTCTAGCATGAAAACAGCCTCCCAGAAACTACTCAGCCAATCCTCTGAAATGGTATTTCCGGTCAAATCTGATGCACCTTCTGAGACTTTTTTTTTTTTGTCTTTTCCAGTAAAGCCAAGCACATAGTCATTGTTAGTTTTAAAAAATGTATTTGGATGGGGTATGAAGTTCAGAAGAGAAAGACATTCCTGGTTGGGTTATTCAAGCAAGGATCCCTGAAGAAGAGATGCTAGCATTTGGCTAGGTGATAGGAAGGGGACAGGAAACAGCAAAAGGCAGGATGTGGAGGCAGAATGAGTTGAAAGATGCTGTTATTGAAGGCGATGGTGGTAGTTTATCCCTGAAAGCCACCAAGAGCTCAAGAGCAGGAGGGAAGAAGATGAGTTTCTGTTGAAGAAAGACCAAAGTCACTCACTGGCTGATTTGTGCTTGGGAGGAGCATCTCTTTCCCCTGCTGATTGGGAGTCTTTTGTTTCCCTGGGACAATAGGCACTGGTCACTGAAGAGTGTGTCTGTCCTCCACACTTTCCCATGTTCCTGTCTCTGGGGAACTCCTCCCTGACTCCGAGAGACAGGATGGAGTTGTCAATCAAGATGTCTGTCACTTTGCCTACCAGGGGAGAGCTTTCCAAGTGGGGCCCTGTTTTTCTGCTGGGGCTATAGGGGAGGGTCTCCATCTTCATGTGTCAGGATGTAGCCTTGGGGCTGCTGGTGTCATATTTATGCCACATGGAATGAAGCTGTCTGAAGCAGGAAAGGATGATATTACCAAGCAAAAAGAGATGCAAAGCTGAGTGTGGACGGAGGCCTGCTTCTGATCCTGTCCATGTACTTGGATCAAACCATGCCTGAACTCCATTTGGTTTGCACCTTATGGGGCAATAAGGGAATAAGTAATTCTCTTTGTTTATTCAACAGGATTTCTGTCACTTGGCAATTCTGATTAATACAGACTTCTGATTAATACAGTTGGCAAATGAGAGACAAGTGATCTCTTCAGAAATGGACAGAGCAGGAAAGGAACCCACCAAGCATGGAGAGGTTGAATGAGAGTCTCTTCTTCCCCATTGACTCACTGCAGCCCTGGATCAGGTTGCTGCCCTTCTCTGGGACTCAGTTTTATCATCTGTGAAATGGGCTGCAGTGAGTGGGAAACAAAATCATTTATTTATGCCCAACCTTGTTGCAAAAATGATTTAAGACAGCTTACAAATGTATTAAAGCCAGAGATTAGGAAAAGAAAGAGATAATGAAATTGTGAGAAGGGGGAGAAAAGGTGAACTCAAGGATGAGGTTAGGTTATTGAATGCCTGCTGTAAAGTTCTGGACAGTTGCTAAAGGTGAACAGACAAGTTTGTTCTGAGATTCTTTGTAGCCAAAGCAAGAAAAAGAAAATGCAGTTACGTGGATTTGTAGGAAAAAAAAAAAAAACAACCCGGTTCCTGAGAAGAAGCCCAACTTTTCTTAGAATAAAAGTCTGAAACAATTTTCCTTGTGGTTCCCCATCAAAAGGACTTTGTGAAATACCATGAGCAAATATAAAAACCAGACAGGTTGAGTATCCCTTATCTGGAATGCTTGGAACCAGAAGTGTTTCAGATAACAGATTCTTTTGGATTATGGAATATTTGCATATACAGTCCTACCTCGGGTATAGGACCCAAGTCTAAACACAGAATTCATTCATGTTTCGTGTATACCTTATACAAGTTACCTGAAGGTAATTTTATTTTTCTGTGTGTTGTGCACCTGCATTTTGACTGCAACCTGTCACGTGAGGTCAGGTATAGAGTTCTCTACTTGTGGCATCATGTTGGTACTCAAAAATTTTGGATTTTGGAGCATTTTCAATTTCAGATTTTCAAATTACAGGTGCTCAACATTTAACAGGCTGGGGTAAATAGTTGCAACATATTTAATAGTCGGAGGATTAAAATCCACAATAAAATAAGAGCTCCCACAAATCAATAAGGACAAAGGAAAAAAACACTCCATCAATAAAATGGGCAAAAAGGGATAAGAACACAATTCACAATAGGGGAAATAGCTATCAAATTAGAAAAAAATATCAGAAGAATGGGTAATATCAGTGTTGGTCACAGTGTGGGGAAATAGGCATGCTCAGACACCTTAACTTACTTTTAGCGTTTCTCGTCACCTGACACACCATATATATACGTCTCTACGTGTTGGGGATCTCTCTCTCTGACCAGATTGCAAGTTCCATGAGAGTAAGGACTACCTCCTCATCACTGCTGAATTCCCAGAACCTAGAACAGTGTGCCCAGAACAGAGTAGATCCTTGATAAATATTTATCAAGTATGTGAGTCAATAAATAAATGAGTGAATGAATGGACAGTGTGTAAACTGGGGTCATATATTTGGCAGGCAATTTGGCAACATTTATTAGAATGAAAATGCACAAACACTGATGCAGACATTCCTCCTTTAGCCATACGCTCGACTGAGACATACAAATATTCAAAGGAATGGGTCAAAGAGTGTTTTTGTAGTGCTGTTTAAATGGCAAAAGTTGGAAATGACCTAAATGCCAAACAATACTACACTAATAAAGTTATGGTTTATTCTGACTGTGAAATATTGTGTGTTCTTCTTTAAAAAAATAGTGTTTTCATACTGATGTGGTCAGATCTCCAAGATACATTATCAAAAGAAAATAGCAAGTCACAGAACAATAATATGTAACATTTACGGTAAAAACAAAACAAACTTTCCAGGCGCAGTGGCTCACGCCTGTAATCCTAACACTTTGGGAGGCTGAGGCGGGTGGATCACGAGGTCAGGAGATTGAGACTATCCTGGCTAACACGGTGAAACCTGTCTCTACTAAAAACACAGAATATCAGCCAAGTGTGGTGGCACGCACCTGTAATCCCAGCTACTCGGGAGGCTGAGGCAGGAAAATCACTTGAACTCGGGAGGCGGAGGTTGCAGTGAGTCGAGATCACGCCACTGCACCCCAGCCTGGGCGACAGAGAGAGACTCCATCTCAAACAAACAAACAAAAACAAACAAACAAAAAACACCACAAACAAACAAACTCAGTCTGTCTGGTTAGCTAGCTACTATCTATCCATCTATCTATCCATCCATCCACTCGCTTACATTGGTCAACCTATCAGTATAAACAAATAGAAACATATCTAGAAGGAAATACCAAGCTGTTAACAGTTCTTCAGAACAAGGGAATAAAATGTGGAGGTTTACACAAAGGGCTATTTTTACTTTAAAAATATATTTCAGTATAATATGCACTTAATGTGCATAGATAGGTTGGCAAATGATAAAGCTTTACAAACTGTATTTATCCCTGTCAGCATCACTCAGATGAAGAAAGAGATATGACCAGCACCCCAGCAGCCCTACTGTTATCCTCTCAAGGAAAACTATCACTGCCCTTCTATTACTTTTATCACCCTAGACTAGTTTTGCTAATTTTTGGACTTTATATAAATAGAATCAAAAAGTGGATACAATTTTGTATCTTTCATCTTTGGTGCAATATTCTGTTTATGTGAATATTGCCAAATGGCCTGACACTCCAACCAGTGTGGCAGAAGGCCTGTTCCCCCCATGCAGCCACCCAATACATTTTAACTAACCTGTAGTCTGTATTTTGTTCAGTCCCAGTAATGTCCTTTACAGCTTTTTTTCTAGTTTGGGATTACATGTTGCATGTAGTTGTCATGTCTCTTTAGTATCCTTTAATCTGGAACAGTTTCTCAGCCTTTCTTTGTCTTTCATGATGTTGGCCTTTAAGAAAAATATAGGTTAGTTGTTTTATGGAATGTCACATCCCTCACTTTGGGTTTGTGTGATGTCTCCTCATGATTAGACTGAGGTTATGCATTTTGGGCAGGAATATCTTGTAAATGATGCTGTGTTCTTCTCAGTCTATCACATTAAGAGGTACACAATGTCAATTTGTCCCTTTATTAGTGTTAACTGATCATTTGGTTAAGGTGACATCCAGTTTCTCCACTGTAAAGTTGTTTACTTTTTCTTTTGTAATTAAAAAGTAATTTTAGGAAGCTACTTTAATATCTTTATCTATTAAATATCCTTTTCCTTGTCAAAGCCATGGTATGTTTAAAATGTGAATTTCTTTCTAAGTTCAGGGGTACATGTGCAGATTTGTTACACAGGTAAACATGTGCCATGGGGGTTTGTTGTACAGATTATTTCATTGCCCAGGTATTAAGCCTAGTACCCATTAGTTATTTTTCCTGATCCTCTCCCTCATCCCACGCTCCACCCTCCAGTAGGCCCCAGTGTGTGTCATTCTCCTCTGTGTGTCCATGTGTTCTCATAATTTACCTCCCACTTATGAGTGAGAACTTGTGGTATTTGGTTTTCTGTTCCTGCATTAGTTTGCTAAGGATAACGGCCTCCAGCTCCATCCATGTCCCTGCAAAGGACAGGATCTCCCCTTTTTTATGGCTGCATAGTATTCCATGGTGTATATGTACCACATTTTATTTATCTAGTCTATCATTGATGGGCATTTAGGTTGATTCCATGTCTTTGATATTAGTGCTGCAATGAACATACAGTTGCATGTGTCTTCATCATAGAACAATTTATATTTCTTCTTTTTTTTTGTTTGAGACAGAGTCTTGCTCTGTTGCCCAGGCTGGAGTGCAATGGCACAATCTCAGCTCACTGCAACCTCTGCCTCTTGGGTTCAAGTGATTCTCCTGCACCACCCTCCCAAGTAGCTGGGATTACAGGTGCCCACCAGCACTTCCGGCTAATTTTTGTATTTTTAGCAGAAACGGGGTTTCACCATGTTGGCCAGGCTAGTCTCAAATTCCTAACCTCAAGTGATCTGCCTGCCTTGGCCTCCCAAAGTGTTAGGATTACAGGCGTGAGCCACCGCACCTGGCCTTTACATTCCTTTGGGTATATACCTAGTAATGGGATTGCTGGGTCGAATGATCTTTCTGTCTTTAGGTCTTTGAGGAATCGCCACACTGTCTTCCATAATGGTTGAACTAATTTATACTCCCACCAACAGTGTACTGAGCATTCCTTTTTCTTCACAACCCTGCTAGCATCTGTTATTATTTGATTTTTTAATAGTAACCATCCTGACTGGTGTGAGATGGTATCTCATTGTGGTTTTGATTTGCATTTCTCTAATGAGCAATGATGTTGAGCTTTTTTTCATATAATTGTTGGCTGCATGTATGTCTTCTTTTGAAAAATGTCTGTTCATCTTCTTTGCTCACTTTTTTAATGGGGTAGTTTTCTTGTAAATTTAAGATCCTCATAGATGCTGGGTATTAGACTGTGGTCAGATGCATAATTTGCAAAATTTTTCTCCCATTCTGTAGGTTGTCACTTTGTTGATAGTTTCTTTTGCTATGCAGAAGCTCTTTAGTTTAATTATGTCCCATTTGTCAATTTTTGCTTTCATTGCAACTGCTTTTGGTGTCTTCATCATGAAATACTTGCCCGTGCCTATGTCCTGAATGGTATTGCCTAAGTTGTTTTCCAGGATTTTTATAGTTTGTGTTTTATAAAATGTGAATTTCTTAATTGAGAGTAATGGGAAGCATTTATTCCTGTGCTCCTGAGTCACCGGTTTTCCTTTTTGATGAATTTTGATAATCATTTTTTCTCACTAAAATTTAAAGGTTTAATTTTTAAAAACTGAATGGTTTAAGCTTAGCCCTATAGTTCTTGAACCATGATTTTAATAATAATGATTTTTTAATCTTCATTGCTCTAGCACCTTTAAGAAGGATTCGTTTGAAAATTCACCTGTGTCTCAACCCAGGAATAGGCTTGGCCTTCCTTCTCTGATGGCAGCCAGGGAGCTTCCTCCCATATACCGTGCCCACGGGAAGGAACAGAAATGCTTCCTGTCACTCCCAGGGGTCTCCAGCTGTCATAAGCTGCCAGCTGGAGGTGGTCCAAGCCAAGATTACAGCCGGCCTTTATCCTATAGTTATCACCCACAAATCACCCCCTATCCCCAACCCAGGGGAGTCTCTCTGTCCATTCCATACCCCGGATACTGAACTCAGCTCCAGAACCAGGGACCTCCTGCCCATTCACGATGGCCTTGAGCTCCCAGTGCTGTCCCCACCACTCAAGATTGTCCCATACCACCTTTCCCACCCAGCCCAAACCTCACAAGCCAGGTGCATGTGGTGGCCTCTAGGGAAATGAGGTTTCAAGGTATTTTAGCCACAGATCTCTTTGCTCAAATAAAGCCCTACACAGAACCCCAGCCCATTCAACATTTCAAGGTGGAGCTGAAATCCTTTGTGGGTTCTATTTTTCTCTCTTTGCAAAGCATTTCCAGCTTGTGGGCTGATTGTCATATAATCTAGACAAGTGTTAATTAAAGAAATCACTCAGAGCCTGTATATACAAAAGGTAAAAATTTTAAAATCTTTACAGCTAAAAATATATTTAATGTGGTACATTTAAAAATATTTGATACAAGGTGGGGATCCCAAACAAAGAGTGCCAGGGGCCTATGGTGAGCCAACCTCCCACACCTCCCAAATAAATCAGTCATCTGGCTTTGTCTATCTCTACGCTCTTCCTATGAGTGTTATCACACTCAAATTGCATATTGATGGGATTAACCCTTTAAGGTCTCTTTCACTCCACCATTGGCTTAGTGAGGCAATCTAGTCCATCATTGTCTCCCCAGCTCTGAGAAGCGAGCACTATCATAAAAGAAAAGAACTATTATACAAGAAAAGATTGCTACAGTGAACTAGATTAATGTTAACAGGCTCCTTGAGGTAAGATGCTAAAAAGCATCAGAATGAATGAGTGAGTCGATAAATGAGTGAATCCACACTGTTGCTTATGAGGTCTGTGGGTGATGACGCCCCATGTGCATGGCAGTTTCAGAAGGGCTTTCAGGGTTTAGATTCTGGGGAAAGGAATCCACTTCACAGACCCTGCTGGTGCCGAGCCACTTCTAAGAGACCAAGGAGCCTGGAGCCACCCCATTCCTCCCAGGGGGTGGGGTTAGTTGATGCTGTCTGGTGAGTGACCAATCGCATCAGCACCTCTGCTGACCCCATGGGACTCCGCTACCTTCTCTCCTGGACTCCTAAAACTGCCATTTCTCTGAGAGGGGGAGGAGGGCTTCTTGCTTCCAAAAGGACTAAGCAGGGTTCTGGCAATGGGGACAGGATAGTCGTTCCCTGTGGCAGGCTGATGTACAATGGGATGGTCCTGGGGCCACATCTGGGCACAGACCCCCATTATCTTTAATGGTGCTCTTGCCAGGGGGACACTGCAGAGAGGAGTCTACCACGAGGAGACCTGCTCTCCCCTCCCAAGCACTGGAGCAACCTTGGCCCTGCCCAGAAAAAGGCAGCTGTAGGGAAATGGAGCTGAGTTTAAATGCCCACTGGGCACTTAGTAGCCATGTGACCTTGTGTAGGTGACTCCTCCTCTTCCTCTCTGGGCCTGAGTTTCCTCCTCCATAAAATGAGGCAGTCATCTTTGCAGCTCTGCACCCACAAAGTGCCATTGTGAGGGTCAAATAAGTGGATGTAAAAGGGCTTGCAGAGAACCCTGCAGATGGAAGGTGGACCTTTATAAGGGAGAAATAAAATCTTATTAAGGAGAAAATAAATTCCCAAGAATGAGCTGCCCAGCATCTTTAAAAGAAGACTGCAGAGTGGACAGTGCTCATACCTGAAATGTTTTTTTTATTCCTCTACCAGTCAGCCTCCTACACATCCCAGAGGAGGCAGTGCCTTCCCCAGAAAGCCCTGCCAGGCTGCACTCTGTCCTCCCATCCTGCTGCCTCCAGCACAATGCTCATATCTGACTGTCTGTCTACCTGACATCTCCCCCACTGGTCTGGTGCTCCTTTGGGAAGGAACTGTATCTGATGCAACCAGGAATTTCAGCTCTTAGGGCAGAGTCTGGCGCATCTGAGGCACACATCAATATTCTGAGCCAGACTGACTGGCTAGAGTAGAGCTAATGGTAGAATGTCGGGGGCTGGTGCCTAAGGTTGGGGTAACTAAAGACGCAGGCAAGCCTCACACTCCCTTCCTAGAACCTTATCTGATTACTTTCTCCATCTAGGTTTGAGACGAGGTCTAGCCGATCCTGCCTACAGGCTGAGTGAAAGCTCTTTAAGGTAGGGGTGACCAGCTTTTCCTGGTCTGCTCAGGACTTTCCTGGTTTGAGTTCTAAAACGTCCCATTTCCCAGGTAAACCAGGGCAGTTGGTCATGCTACCTTAGTTACTAATTGATTCTCATAGTAGACATTGTAATTACTCACTGATTGTATATTACGCTTCTCCTTCCTCCCCCTTTCCCAGGCTGGCAGAGCCCATCTCTTAGGACAGAGGCTGAAAACGGAAGATAGTTTCCCAGCCTCTCTTGTGGTGAGGGGTTGCCATGTGACCGAGTTTTGGCCAATGAGACAAAAGGGAAAGTCTGCTGGGAACTTCTGGGAAGGGGTTTTTTCTCTCTATCTACCTTCACCCCCTCTTTCTTCCTGCTTTCGGTCGTGAGAATGTGATGATTAGAGCTGTGACAGCCATCTTGTGACCACAAGGAAACATCCTTACCACACTCTGAGGGGTAAAACGAAGGACAGTAAAAGCTCGACACTTTGATGACATTGTTGATCCTCTGAACGACCCTAGGACTTGAACAACATTAAAATGTTACATGTTGTTTATCAAAAGACATCATTAGAATAACAAAAAGGCAGCCTCTGTGCTGGGAGATGATATTTGAAATCTCTCCTTGAAAAGGACTCGTATACAGAATACTCAATGATAGATAACTCAGTTGTTAAAAATTGGGGCAAAACTTGAAAAGAAACTCTAGAAAAGAGAAAATTAAAATGGCCAATAAGCAAAGCACACAAAAAGGTCTGAACATCATTATTCATCAGGGAAATGCAAATTAAAACTACAGTGGGGCCCGGGCCTGTTGGCTCATGCCTGTAATACCAGCACTTTGGGAGGCCGAAGCAGGCATATCACCTGAGGTTGGGAGTTTGAGACCAGCCCGACCAACTTGGAGAAACCCTGTCTCTACTAAAAATACAAAATTAGCTGGGCGTGGTGGCACATGCCTGTAATCCCAGCTACTTGGGAGGCTGAGGCAGGGGAATCACTTGAACTCGGGAGGCAGAGGTTGCAGTGAGCTGAGATCTCACCATTGCACTCCAGCCTGGGTAACAAGAGCAAAACTCCATCTAAAAAAAAAAAATACAATGGGATACAATCTCACACTTACCAGAGTGGCTAAAATTAAAAACACTGAAAATACAAAGTGTCGGTGAGGATGTGGAGAAACTGGAACTCTCATACTCTAGTAATACTAATAATAGGAGTGTAAATTTGGACAGTTGCTTTGGAAAACTGCTAAGCAATAGCTACTAAAACTAAACACAGACTTACCTGATGACCAGGTATTTACCCAAGAAAAATAAAAACATGTCCACAAGAAGATGTGTATGTAGATGATCATAGCAGCTTTATTCAGAACAGCAAAACACAAGAAACACCGCCAACGCCTGTCAACAAAAGAACAGAAAAGTAAGTTGTGATATATCCATACAATGGATGTATATGTTATTTTATGAATATATAAAATGGATATATTGGAAATACTACATGGATAAAATAGTTACTTTTTAAACTACATAGCAGTGAAAAAGAATAAACTACTGACACGTAGCAATATGGATGAATCTTAAAATTATATTGTGCAAAAGAAGCTAGACACAAAAGAGTACATACAGCATGATTCATTTCTATGAAGTTTAAGAATGGGCAAAACCATTCTATGCTGTTAGAAGTTGGTTAGTGGTTACCCTTTGCAATGGCAGGTGGAGCAGTGGGGAGCAGTAGCTGGGAAGGAGGTATGGGGATGCCAAATGGGATGTCAAGAATGTTCTACATCTTGATCTAGATCATATACTTGCAAAAAATTCCTTCAGCCATTACAGCTCAAGATTCGTGTGCTTTATTTATGCAATACAGCAATCTAAAACATTAAAAAATGAATAATCTCTATGGTTTAAGGCACATTTAATCGAGTATTCTGTTACTTGTAGCGAAAAGCACTCTAACACTCCTCAACACAATTTGGCGACAGAGGATGTTTGTTGGGTGAGTGATGGTAATACCCGTGGAATAGCATTCTTACAGGGAACAGGGCACATTCACGCCATTAACACCTGTCACTCTCACTTCAGTCCCACCAGGGAGGGTTTGTTAGTTTCCTCTAACAGATGAGGAAACTGAGGTCCAGAGAATCGCACTGACCTGCTCAGAGTCACACAACGAGCTTTTTTTTTTTTTTTTTTTGAGATGGAGTCTCACTGTGTTGCCCAGGCTGGAGTGCAGTGGCATGATCTTGGCTCACTGCAGCCTCCGCCTCCCAGGTTCAAGCAATTCTCTGCCTCAGCCTCCCAAGTAGCTGGGATTACAGGTGCCCGCCACCATGCCCAGCTATTTTTTTTTTCTTAGTAGAGAGAGGTTTTGCCATGTTGGCCAGGCTGGTCTTGAACTCCTGACCTCAAGCAATCCACCTGCCTCGGTCTCCCAAAGTGCTGGGATTATAGGCATGAGCCACTGTGCCCAGCCTACACAGTGAGCTTTTGACCAATCTAGAATTTGGGCCCAAGATTGTTTAATCCCAAACCCAGTGCTCTTTCCGCTACACTTCTCTCACCCTGGGCACATCCACCAACAACATTTGTTGAACTCCTATTCTGTATACTTCAGGGAAACTTTATCTGGTCTCTACTTCCACTGAGCTTGTGGTCTAGGAGAAGAACAAGAGTTTTATCTAACAATAATAATTGTATTTTTAAGTGCTTACGTTTATTAAATACTTACTATCTCCTAGACCAGCCTTTTTCAGTGGAGTCCATGTATTGCAGAGTATACTCCACTGGGTTGCAAGAAAAACAATTAGTAATTCTATCTGTATATTTGATCTCATCTTTTAAAAATTTTCATTTTGTGTATATCATATAAGATGATAATATATTGATTGATAATATATTATGTTTTTACTTTGTAAATGTACATATTAAATATATTGGGGGCAATGTTCACTGACAAGAATGGGACACCTAAATCTTTAAAGACCCATTGGTCGCCTGATCACATGATCCCATCTGGCCCTCATGACACTCCTGAGGACCAGATTTTTTTTGTTGTTTTTAGAGACAGAGTTTGCTATGTCACTCAGGCTGGGATGCAGTGGTACAGTGATGGCTCACTGCAGCCTTGAACTCCTGGGCTCAAATGTTCTTCCTGCCTCAGCCTCCCAAAGCTCTGGGATTACGGGCATGAGCCACCATGCGTGACTGAGAACCCGATGTGTTGCCCCATGTTACATATGAAGATACATCTTTAAGGTAATGAATATCCCAATCACCCAGATTTAATTCTTAAGCGTTGTATACAGGTATCAAAATATCACATATACCCCCCAAATATGGCCAACTATTGCATGATTAAAAAATAAAAGAAAAAAGAAAAAGAAACCATCTTTAGCAATACCCTTTTAAAAAGTGCTTTTTGTTTGTTTAGCTTTCTTTGAACATTTGACCCAAGTCTTCCCTCACTCAGAAAACCACTCTGTAAAACATCCCTCAACATGATTTCCTCACAGACAAACCTGTCTGATAATTTAATGCTGCTGCCATTTTTTTTTCTGGAGCTCTGAACTTTGATGCCTATCTGGACTAGTTTTGCTCTAGACTTGGGGCACAGATACCATTAGGAATTCCTTTGTCTCTCCTGTGTTGAAACCACAGACTGCTATATCTCAGTTCATCATAGAAAATTTACAAAATAAAAGCCACAGAGATTCATTCCCCTGCCTGTGTCTAAGCTCTTGTCCAAGCCCCTCTCACATTGACTCTGGGCTTGGTCACGTGACTTGCTTTGGCCAATGGCATAATGGCAAACATGACACAAGCAGCAGCTGGAAAATTACTTGTGCATATGAGCCTTTGCCCTTTCAGCTCTGGGGAACCCTGTGACCACAACCAGGCTGGCAGCAAACCCAGGCTGGTTTGCTGAAGTATAAGAGACCGATGGCTAAATCATCTCTGTTACCCCAGCTGTGCCAAGCCAACCAGCATATATATGTGAGTGAGGCCATTGACGACCAGCTGACGGCAGACACAGGAGAGAAGCCAGCCAAGACCACATGGAGCCCAGCCCACGCCACTACTGGGCTATAGGTTCATAAGGGAATAAATGGTGGCCGTTTTCAGGCAATTTGTTACACAGGAAAAGCTCATGGTTCCTCTTCTTGGTTTAGTTCCTCTTTTTGGTGGAGCACAGCCCCTGGTAGCATGGAAGTTTTAAAACATGTGCACCAATCCTTTGACACTTGTCCCATCAGCAGATAGGGTTCATGACACCTTCCCTTGCTTGGGCCTGTACCTTAGTAATGCAGCAAAAGTGACATGGCATAACTTCTGAAGATAAGTTAGAAAAGGCCCTACAGTTTCCACCTGGTTCTCCTGGGACACTCACTCCGGGGTAAGCCAGCCATTGAGGAAGAGGTATGAGATCACCGTGCTGGAAAAGCTACATGTCAACACACCACTCAACAATCCAGTCGAGACAGCCTTCCAGCCATCTGGGCCAAAGGAGCCAGACTGGTGAGTGATGTCATCTTGGGCCCTCCAGACCAGCTCATCCACCAGCTGAAGACCACTAAGTGAGCTCCATCAACACCACGTGGAACAGAATCATCACCCAGTTGCACCCTCCCTCAGTTTTTAACCCACAAAATTAATCCACTAATTTTGGTGATGGTTTGTCATGCAACAATAGATAACCAGATTCTATGCCATGATGGGAAGTTCTGCAGTTTCATTGGGAAGTGGCAGGCATTCTGGGACAGAAAAAACTTGGGGTCATTTGTGCAATCTACTGCACAGATTTTTAATCTCTGGTTTCTTACTCTCTGTTCCTTCCAGAGAGCTTCTTGTTCACATTTTACTGCTGCAATATCTTTATCACTCAAGGGATATTAATTGTAGGATTTATTTTAAGTTTTCTCTTGTTCCCTGGATTCTTTTCTTGAAGACCTTTTACCCCGCCCTCATGGTTTGCTTTGATCTCTGCACTTCATGATAGAAATTTCTAATGATCCTTGGCTGTCTACTCACATTACCACTCTGGCTGGAAACTGGGTGGGGAGGGTGGACTGGTAGGCTTTTGTGTAGGGTCCATGCAGGGTGGTTGCATAGGGCTGGTGCAAAGGGGCTGGTTGGCTTTTTCTGTGATGCACTCTCCTCCCACCCCCAATTACCGTATCTTTAGGTCTTTGTCCTGGAAGTGGTTCTCCAGATAATTTTCTGCCTGGGGTTGGACATTCTAGAATGAGACGGGTGAAGGGGGCTGAAGATCTCACCTTCTCTGGGCCTGATGTTTCTAGTTTTGGAGTTTCTTTGTTGCCTTTTTTTCAGAGAATAAACCTCCCTTTGCTTGCCCAGAAGTGAGTGGGGTTACTACCTGGCTGGGCAGGATGGGGGTTGGGGACGTGGAGGTCCCATGCTCCTTGTACAGATTGCTTTCAATCCCCACTTCACCAGCAGCTCCTCCAAGACCTAGTAGCTTCAATTTTTGAGGCCTTTAGGCAAATTGGCTTGTTTCTCTATGCAGCAATCCACCCACACAGCAGTCACCTACCCCATCCATTTAGCTTTGACTTTCTTCCTCTCGGTTATGTCACTGGCCACTTCATCCATTTCCCTCCTTTGTAGTTCAGGGTTACAAATGTCTCTCGATTTCCTCAAAGACAGAGTTTTTGTTTCTGCTCCTTATTCTTGTTTTGGGGAAGTTTTTTGTTTGTTTTTTTCTTTTTTAAGAAGAGAAAAGGAATAGAAATGTCTTTAGTCTACTATCTTAAAGCCACCATTTCATTAGAGTTTTAAATGGAAAAAGCACCCTCTTATATTGGACAGAAGTGTGTCAGCAATGTGGGTTTTGTGACTCTTACTGGAGTAAGAGCCTACATTATACGCCAAGGTGGCTTCATGTTCTAGTTTTACAAATGCATTTGATACAGTTAATAAAATAGCAAATTATGTATTAAGGAGAATACAGATAAGTCATTGCTGGCTTGGCAGAGAGTGGAGAGCAGCCTTGACCAAAAAGCTTAGAGGAGGAAAAGTGGGGTGGAGGCATGAGGTTGACCTGTCCCTGCTAAGTGCCACTGTTTTCAGCTCACCCCTTTCCACCTGCAGGTCCCTGCTCAGATGCCACCTCCTTGGAGGATCCCCACCCACCTGTCACTTTCTCTCTACTAACTTGTTTTATGTCTGACTGCCTGCCAATGGATTTGATTGACTTATTTATCTTTAGGTTTGTCGACCCCACTAGATCATGGGCTCCATGACCAGGGGGAGCTTTGCTTTTTCACCTCCATACACTCGGTGCCTGTGAGCACCTGGTACATCAGTAGATGCTCAATAAAGAGTTGTTGAGTGAACAAATGAATGAGCCAGTGATTGCGTGGATCCATGTTTTCTATGAGAAGGCAGAGCTCTGAGGACAGACAGAGGCCCAGTGTGCATGAGAAAGTCCTGCTGGCCCAGGCAGTGGCCTAAGAGCTGCCTACCATGGCGGTCACTGTTCTTGGGGAACCACAGATGTTTCCCCTCTAATCCCTCCATGGGGACCAGGGGGGCATGAGAATGGGAGAGAACACAAAGTCCCTTTATTCAGGGGAGTGGATTCCATCTCAAGACAAATTGTTACCTCCAAGGCCACCAGCCGCCCAGCCGGCCCATCACCATGGCCTCCCTCTTAAGGATGTGGGCACAGGCCCGGCCAGAGCTGAAATTGCCCTGGAAACTAGTCTCCCCTTTAATTAACAGGGAGGGCGACCAGGCCTGCTAACGGGGTGGGGTATGGAGTCGGGGTGGGGTCAAGTTCATAAAGTCCCCAAAGAATCAAGGCCTCCTTGTTTATTTTCCCGAAAATGTTCCCCATTACCCAGAACAGCATAGGGGCCAAGCAGGCCGCAGGCAGGGAAAAAGCTTTAACCTCCCCGCTGCTCAGCTCAGCACATCACTATTTGACTTGCATTTTAAAAATAATTACAAACTTAATGAAAAAATAACCTAACCCCCAAACAGGCCAGGGACTCATGGCCAGCATTGGCAGGAGCAAGCCCCTGGCAGCTGTGAGGATGAGATGCAAAGGGTATAGAGGAACCACTGGAAGACAGGGGACACCCTTTAGATGGACACTCCCTCTCTCTAGCGCCAGCTTTGGCTCCCTATTGCCCTTTGTGTCATGCCCAAATGTCTCAGCCCATGTCTTAGAGCCAGTTTTACTCAGGCCCTATGTGGAAGACACTGGAACCCAAAGAGGAAAGGAAGTTGCTCAGGTTGTGCATTGTGTGGGACCTGATGCAGGTAGTGAGGCTGGTTGGGATGGGTTCTCGGGGAAAGAGTGGAGGAAAGTGAGAATGTGTCTCTGTTACCATCTGAGCCCTGGCTGGGTATGGCCAACATGCCAGGTAAGCAGCCTTGGGAAGCAGGCACGATGATTATCCATCTTTAATATCCCAGGACTTGAGTCCAGGTCTGTCGGGCTTTTAGCCACCACACTAAGTGCTGTAAAAGGAGCTGGAGGTAGAAATGAAGTAACAACAATAATAATAATAAGCAGCTTTCATGGATTGTAGACTATGTGCCGTGCACTGTGCCAAGCTCTTTACCATCTCTTTTAATCTTTGCAATAACTTTATCTGGTAGGTAGTGTTATTGACCCATTTTACAAACGACGCCCAGAGCATTGGTTCAAGGTTGTGCAGCTGGGAAATGGCCTGTACTCTTCTACCCTGAGAATAATGCTCTACAGTGAGTCAGGGAGTCTTGTGAGGTCTCAAGAACAGGGACCTTGTCTGTCTTATTCACTTGTGTGTCCTCAGAGCCCAGAAGAGAGACTGGCATATAATAGATATTTAATATCTGTGTTGTGAATAAGAATGAACAAATGCACCTGGACCTAGAAGTAACTTCCGATGAACCATCCCAGTTCTCCCTTCCCCATTCCGGATTATCTTTACTTACCTGGAAGTGAACAAGATATTAAGGGGCTCCAAAAGAACTGAGAAATAGAACTTGGTTTGAAAGACAGTAGGGAGCCACAGCAGGTCCTTCAGGAATGGAGTTCCAAGCTAGGGGAGTGATGGTCTTCCTGTGTCTTTATGGATTCCAGGAGCTAGTCAAGGTCAATGAGCCTTTAGCCAGAAGGTCAAGTTATCCCCAGTGGTAAGTGTTGGGGGAAGAGGAGGGCACTTCTCAGGAGTTGAGGGTCCCAAACTTGTCATGCTCATTGGTTTTGTGGCTGAGAGTGGCAGGTTCAGGCTGGCCAGCCAGCCTCTTCAGCTTGCCCATGGTAAATCCCATGATCCTGGGTCAAGGACGCCCAAACATGGTATGTCCATAGCCAGCTGACAGAATTCGTATGTCATTGAATCTTTCAACAATGGATTCTTTGAAACTTACAACTCTGGGGCCTTTGAGGTCCATCTCAGATTCTGAGGCTGTAGAAACTGTTCATTTTAGAATAATGATAGGTACAAAACATTTACTGAGTACTTACTACTCCAGACATTGTTTACAAATATCAACGCCTTTAATCCTCACAACCACCCCAGAAGGTAGTAACAATGTGACCCCCCACTTCACAGATGTGAAGACGGAGGCACTGAAAGGTGTAACTTGCCCAGGGTCACTGGCCGCCTGGCTCTAAAGCACACAGCACTGCCTCACAGACACTTAAAGTCGTTGAGACTTACACTCTTCAAATTTTAGAATCGTAGAAAGTCACAAGGTCAGGATCTTCAAGCCACAGAGTCTTAAAATCATAGCACTTTAGAACCTGCCATCATTGACTCATCAAATTCTGCCGTCATAAAATCTGGGCATGTTATAATCCTGGAATTCCAGATTCTTGGGGACTTTTAAGTCAGAGAAGTTTAGATCCTGGGATATTAGGCTTGGATTACAGACCCTAGCCCAGTCCTCTCATATAGCACAGGGAAACTGAGGCCCACAGAAGTGACAGAAGTCCAAGAGAGGCAGAGCCTGGTGGATTCAGTGTCATGTTTGGAGGGAGAAATCGGAGTGAACAAAGAAAGCCCCTGGGCAGGCAGGAATCTGTTTGTGATTAGCAGTGGGTTTTAGTGTTGCCGAGGAATGTACCCAACGTTACCGTTACCCCCGCAGGTTGCTGCCTCCTTTCTTCCCCCTCAGATGCCCTCCTCAGAGCCCATCCTGGCCAGACTCAATATCCTGTTTCTACCACCAGCAAATTGAATTTTCAGAAGTTGGCCTCCTAACGAAGCCAGCTTAATACGTTGGAGGTTTTCTTTGCCTGCATTGCTATTTCTTGGTAGGATGCCTGCTCTTCAGGAGCCCAGAGAGGTTTTGCACACTCAAATCACAACGCCAGGAGGGATGAGGGACAGGAACTATGGGACAGGTGGCTGGGGGCTTAGATAGACCCAGAGGTGGGAATAGAAATGGCGTGTCTCAAGGGGGAGGTGACAGGTCCACAGGGACCTCCGTACTGCTCAGGCCACACCTGGGAATTTGGGGGCCTTCAGTCTTTCAGAAACATTAACCAAATGGGGTTTGTTTAGAGGAGGGATGGGGAGAGATGGGTGGGAATCCCATGCTCTGGGAGACCTTGAGCGTGGACTAGATGGAAAGAAGCATGAATTCTAAAGTTCAGCCTCTCAGCTACTGCCCCCTTGAAGACAGACATGGGTGGAGCCCTGGGGTATAGACCTAAGATTGAATGGTGGAAACTCCATGAAGATTTTGGTTTTATCAAAATCAGTGGTTCTCAGGCTGGGCATGGTGGCTCACACCTGTAATCCTGAGGCGGGCAGGTCACTTGAGATCAGGAGTTCAAGACCAGCCTGGCCAACATGGTGAAACCCCATCTCTACTAAAAATACAAAAATTAGCTGGGTGTGGCATCAGACACCTGTAGTCCCAGCTGCTCAGGAGGCTGAGGTAGGAGAATTGCATGAACATGGGAAGCAGAGGTTCCAGTGAGCCGAGATTGCACCACTGCACTCCAGCCTGGGCAATAGAGCAAGAGCCTGTCTAAAAAAAAAAAAAAAAAAAAAGCAATGGTTCTCAAAGTACAGTACAGTCCAGAATCTGTGGGGTTCCTGAGACCATTCCAGGGCATCCACATGGTCAAAACTATATTCACAACAACACTAAGACATTATTTGTTCTTCTAACCCTCAGTGGGGTTGTCCAAAGTTGATATGACATGTGATGCCACCATCACTCTGATAGCAATGAAAAAAATTAATGCAAAAACATTCATGATGAACAAAATACTAAAACTGTAAATAAAGAGAAGACTAATACTACTGATTTTTCCTTTCATCTCAGGCTTCAGTGTGAATTTTTCAAAATATTGCATTAAAATGTCCTAATTACTGATATTTTTGGCACACAAATTTTAAACCTGAGGCAAGTGCCTCGTTTAACTCACTCTAGTCCTGGCTGTGGATATAATCCACATCAACAGAAGCTTGTTGGGGTCCTCAATAATTTTTAAGGATATAAAGTGTGCTGAGATGAAAACATTTGAGGGTCACTGATAAAAGGGATAATGTTCCATCAGCTCAAACTATCCAACAATGGAGGGGATTATATTCCAAGGTACTGAGTTCCCATCACAAGGTGTGTACAAATGGGGGGATTAAAGGATTGGGTGTGGGGAAGAGGCCTAATGTGCAGCATCTCTTGCCCAGGTGCCTCCTGTGGTCCCACCTACCTGGCATCCAATAGATCTTCTCATTTTCCCACTTGAAAGCTTGCAATGGTACCCCACTGTGCTCTGAGCAAAAACCCACCTCTTCTCCATGGCCTACCAGGCTCTATGTGTCCTGGCCCTGTCTCCCACTCTTTTGCCCCTAGCTTGCTCTGCTATCCCCAACCTAGCCTCTTTCTATTTCTTCAGCATGCCAAACTCTTTCTTACCTAGGGATTTTGCACACGCTGTTCCCTCTGCCTGGAACATCTTCCTCTTCACTCTTCTCATGGCTGTTCCTTGTATCTTCTGAGTTTCAACTTGACTGTTGCCTCCAGGAAGGCTTCCCTGATCACCCTATAGTAAGTAGGATTTCTCTGACATCATCTCTCAACCTCTTTTTTGCTTCCTTCATGGAAGTCATCACTGCTTTTTTATATTTACTTGTTGGCATGGATGGTTCTCATCTATTCTCTCCATGAGACCATGAGCTCCTCCAGGGCAGGAAGCCTGACTGTTCAGACATGGGGCCTCAGCACCTGACCCAGCACCTGGCATGGAGGAGGCCCTTGAGAAGTGTTTGTTAAGCAAATAAACAAATCCTTTATGAATTAGTGAATGAATGAGTAAATGAATGAAAGATTAAACAGAAAAGGCCTCTGACTGCTGATGCTCAGGCACTCACCAGGAAACCCAAAGTAACACAGGTTGTTACTTTGATGAAACATCAGTAACCATGGCTGGATAGTGTGTGATGAAGTATTAAGCAGTAAGTGTTTGCCCACTACCCATCAGCGCTGATCAAGTTGGAGGAGAGGGAGACTGGCCTGGCTGCAGAAATCTTGGATGAGTTGGGGCTTGAACACAAGCCTTCAGGGCTTTGCCAAGGCAGGTTCCCCTGCCTAGTTTCTCTGAAGATTCACATTGTATTCACTGTGAGGGCTCGGCTCAAATAACCCTGCCTCCTATGGCTCTTCCCTGACTCTTCTTGGGTAGGGTCGGAACACACCATCCTTGTTCTGGGTGTTATTGTATTAGGATAACCACCCTTGTCTATCACTGATTTGAAGACATTAGCTTATAGAAATGTCCCGACAGTATAGATGTTATCCCAGTTTAGAGATGAGAAAAGTAAAGGTCCCAGAAGAACTTACATTCCAGTGGAGGAGACTCATCACGGGCAAAAAACCAAACCCACGTGTTGTGAGTGATAAGAGTTAAGGTGAAGAATGTTGCCGCGGAAGAGGAGTGGGGAGACCTCTCTGAGGGATCAAAGAGATGTGGGTACAAATTCCATCTAATAGTGTCAGCTAAAGTTCAGTTAACTGTTACCACTAACAATGAGTTAGCTGTTGCTTCCAGGATGTCTGTTTCACGAGGACAGGGACTATGTTCACTTTTCTGTCCCCAGCACCTAGAACAGTGAACAACACATAGTAGGTGTTCCATGTATGGTGTGAGGTGAATAAAGGCCTGCCTGCATCAGGCGTTGTATATGAATTATTTTATTTAATCTCCATGGTCAGAGAGGTAAGGGTTATCATCCCCATTTTGTAGATAAGGAAATGAGGGCACAGTGAAGTTAAAGTCTAATGACTTACCCAAGAACACCCAGATAGTAAATGGTGGAGCCCGAGTTGGATTCGAATCCAGTCCAATCTGTCTCGTATCTTAGCCACTCTCCTACACAGCCTTATTCTGCTCACTCACTGTGTGACCAGGGCATATTGCCTAACCTCTCATCCACTGAGGATGTCATTTTCTTTAGCTTTTGAAATAATACCCATGTCATAGGGTTACTGTGAAAGTTTGGTTCAGGTAGAGCTCTTAGATTCCTGTCTGGCACACAGTGACACCTCTTTTCAGGTGACCCATTCTCGTTTGATATTGTCAGCCATTGTGAAATAAGAGGGTATAGAGCAAAGCTTTCCAAATGGAAAAACCTGCTATGATTTCTAGAAAGTCTTGGGAAACTTTCTAGATCAGTTATGGAGGTTGCAGAGCAGAAGGCCTCAAGGACGAGATGCAAAAACAGCACCCATGCAAGTTGACTTGTAAACTGCTTTCTTCATCCTTTAGGAGGAATTGCCCAAGAGGCAGCATTTATGGGGCATGCCCAGGGTCTCCAGGCACTGTGCTGAGGGCTCTGTATCCCGTCTGTCAATTTTTCCCAACTCTATTATACAGATGGCACCACTGAGGCTCAGAGAGGTGAAGGGACTTGCCCAAGGCCTCATAGTGCATCAGAAACAGTCAGGACTCAGCTCAAGAAAAGGCCCCAAAGCAAGCACTCCCAACCACATGATCTAAGACCAGGGAACAAGGGGACAATGAGAGTGAGGGCAGGAAAAACGCTGGAAGATGTACCAGAGACTTAGCACTTGACTGATGGCATCTTTCCAGGCCAGTGCCCACCCCTCCTCTCCTGGCCTTCTCTTCCACCTCCCACCCTCCTGGGTTCCTGCACCATTTTCTCACTGGAGCTCCTGCCATGCCTGTTATCTTCTGTTGGTTCTTGGGAAAAGACTCTGAGATGGAGATTGGCGTGCAGTGGGTTTATTGGGGAGAGTGCTCAGGAGTAAGACCAATGCAGGAGTGAGGAAAACAGGCCTGGGAGGAGTGAACAGCTGGCACAATGGAGTTACAACAGAAATCTCAGTGATCCCACAGGAGCTCTGGAGCAGAGATGGCCCTTCGGAGCTGAAGGATCGGGTCAGGCATTTTTTATCATACACCAACCACTCTTTGGCCACAGGCTGCACCTGGAACGAACGTGTCCTTGGGCAGGGCAAGTCCCTACAGCTGAGGGCCATTCCCGGCTGGGAAATATCAGCAGCTGGCAGTCCCATCAGCTGGGAAGGGTGTCTGATGAGGGAATCCATGCTAGCCCCCAGCCTCCTTTCCACCTGTCCACTGTTATCTGACAATAGCGATCATGCCACACTAGCTCACACCGGCAGAGCACTGTCTACCTCTCAGGCTCCCTACCACGTCGTGTGGTGTGTGGATTCCCTCATTCCATCCTCATGACAACCATGAGAGGGGGACACTTTCCACATGAGGAAACGGAGGCTCAGTGAGATGAAGAGCTTGCCCAGAGTCCCAAGGTGCAAGAATGCTGTAGCTGGTATTCTCACCCAAGCAGTGGGACCTATGGGTCCTATCTTGGTCCCTTATAGAAACTCCTTCCTTTAATCCAACTCGGCACTGAGTCCCCTGGAGTCAAAGCTCCTGCCCTCCAAAAGTTCATCATCCAGTGGGGGAAGTCAAGACATATACACTGGAAAGATAAGGGCTGGTAAGTGCTGTGATGAGAGGTGACCTGAGGGTGGGTGACAGGGATGTCCTGCCCAGGAAGGCAGGTGAGACAAAGTCAGTGAGTTCAGCCTCAGTGGATGAGGAGAGTGCTGTGGGAAGGATCGGGGCAGGGTGGGCTTCTAGGCAGTGGGAGCACAGGTGCAAAGACAGAGAGGGTGAAAGAGAGGGGCCCTCCAGAAATAGGGAGTGGTCTCCTGAGATGACATAGGGGTTTGGGGGAAGGAAAACAAGGTCATCAAGGTGGAGGGGCTCCAGCCTCAGGGCCCTGCATGATACAGTCCCTGCCCTTCCGTGAATATTTGCTGAACGAATGAATGGTTGGATGGGTGAATGAATCGCTGCTGTGGAGGGTGGATTGGAGGTTACAGAGACGGGCAGGGAGACCAGTGGGGGGTCCACAGCAAATGTCCAGGTAAGAGGAAATGGGCCCAACTTTGCAGGGACCACAGGGGTGAAGCGATGAGAGAGAGAAAGAGAGAGAGGAGCGGAACGCCGCTGGGTGTGGTGACCTAGAGCTTCTGTGGCCCATCTCTCAGTCTCACCCTGTTCCACCTCCATGCCCTGCACCATGCTGCATCCCCTGCCTGGCAGCTTTTTCCTCTCCCTCTGCATCTGCAAGTTGCACTGGCTGCCCAAGCTCTGCTTCCTCTAGGAAGTCTTATTGACCAATGCAGCTCTCCCTTACCGTGCAAGGTCACTTCCCATCTCCCTCACAGTTTAACCCTAGCAAACTCCATTTGCAGAGGCCGGTGTTCAAAATGCAATTCTCCAATTTTTGAATGCCAGGCCAACAGGGAAGCATTTAATGCCCTTCAGCAGGGGTATGATGGGATAAGTGTGAATCCATGTATCCCGTACAGGTAGGACCTCTCTGCCCCCATAGTGCCTGCTCGTTAGCCCTCTAAGGGAGGCATCTGGTAAATCTGGGCTTGGAGTTTGGAGGATCGGAAACAGGAACGACCTCTCTGGGGACAGTTCTTAAGTTCTAATGGAGCAACTCTTCACAGAGGGACTTGCAAAGCTCTTAATTAAAGTTACCATCAGAACAAAGACTCTCTGAAGCAAGAATTTGGACCCCAATGGAGTCCTGAATCCAGGCAACCAAGCTTGCATAAGTGTGCAACACAAAGGCAAATGAGTCCCCAAGGAAGAAGAGGCTCCATCCTCAGCTTGCTGCCCTTGTCTGAGGGAAGCACCATGCCCTACAGCTGACATTTACTGAGTTTGCATCCGTTGACTCTTTTGGTTGCAGAAAACTGGCTCAGACAAAAAGGGGATTTGCTGGACTGAAAAGGCCAGGCTGGAGCTATGGTGCAGCAGGATCTAAGGGCTTAAGTGATGTCTTTAGGGTGGGGTTTCTCTCCATTTTTTTCTGCTCAGCATCCTTCAGAATCCACTTCATTCCCAGAGTCTATGAAGGTGGGGTGCACAGAGAGAGTCTGTTGGACCAGTGTGGTCACACACACACCCTGAACCAAGGAGCACAACACCTGAGTGGCTGAGGCTGCAGGGCACGTCCCAGATTACACTGACCAAAGAGTAGGAAAATGTTCCCCATCAGAAATTGGTAGAACAGGGAATGGATTCTGGGGAAGTAAGCAATGAACATTATCCGTAAGGGCCTACTATATGGTAAGCAGCTATTAATCGCTTTGCCAATTTATAGTTGAGGAAACAGCCTCAGAGAGGTGAAGTCACTCTGACAGCCAGGAAGTAGGGAAAAGCAAGCTTGGAACGCAGCTCTGTCTGGTACCAGAGCTGAGGGTCTGGGGAGCTCCACCATCCTGCTTTCCAGGCAACATCTTTACCCATCTCTGTTTTGGTCCAAGGCACAAAGCTGGTGTCAGATGGCTCTTGGATAAGCCTGTGTGGGAAGGACAGATAGATGGGGGTGTGTATGGATGAATGGATTGGTGAATGGATGAACAGCGGGGTGGATGGATGGGTAGGTAGAAGGGTGGATGGATTGCTGGCTGTGTGGTTTACTGGCTAGGTGGGTGGGTAAATTGGTATATGGTTAGGTGGAAGGGTGGATGTATGGATAGGTGGGTGGATGCTTGGGTGAATAAATGAAATGGCAACTGAAAGGACAGGTGGAAGGATGTGTGGGTAACTAGATGGGAGGGTGAATAGAATAATGCTGACATAAGCATTAACAATTATGTCTAGCCTCTTGCCCCTCTCTTCCCAACTGCCTTTTCCAGTGGAAAAATTGAAAATCATGGACCCGGGGAACACATTCCCCTGTGGTCTGTTAATAGAGGCCCAGCAAGGCCAGCCGAGGCTGTCAACTCACCCCCCACTAGGACCCTGTCATTAGCCACACTCCCCCAACCCTGCCCTTGGGTGGAAGTATGATCTGGTGGGCACTGAGGGGCTGGGCCCATCCAGGCCCCTTATTAAGCCTTATTAAGCCCACAGACGGGGAGCAAAAAGGGGAGAAGAACTTTCTCCCAAAGGTCAGCTGTTGGAAAAAGAAGGTACAGATGTCTCTGGGGTGGTCGTCTACTCTCAGGCCACAAGGAATGTGAAAGTTTGCCTGGCCCAATCTGCTCTGCTGTCTTCTTGCAGGCTGGGAAACTGAGGCCCATACAGGAGACAGGAGGGACACACAGAAGTCGGGACAGAGCCAGACTCAAACCTCAGGCCGGCTCACAGACCATAGCCCAGCCTTTCCCTGAAACAGCCTCAGCATCAACAATGGGGAGGGAAAGGAATGGGCATGAATGGGGCTCCTGCTATATGCCAGGCCCTTGAGCAAAGCATTTTCTGTTCATGGAGCCACTGGTCTCCTCTGTATCCCCATGAGTAAAATGGAAGTTATGCCTGTCCTGTCACGGATTGAACAAGCATTTGTTAAACATCTGTTATACTGTGGGCCAAGCACTGGTCTAGGTGCCAGGAATATGGCATTAACTAGCCAAACAAGGTTTCTGCTTTCAGAGAGCTTACTTTCTAGACAGTGATAGAGACAGACAAATAAGTAGGTAGATAAAATGTGATATGAAGAAAATTGAGGAGTGGTATGAGATGTACAAGGATGGAAGGGACGTTCTTTGGATGAGATGGTTGGGAAGGGCCTCTCTGAGAAGGTGATCATGGTCAAGGTCATTAATTGTCCACCAAGTCCATTCTCCCCTTTGCTAGTATGTGGGCAAAGCCCACAAGTGGCTGTCCAGGCAGGGTCAACATTTCCCAGCCCTATTTGCATGCAGGTGTGGCCATGTGACTAGCTCTTACCAATAGAATGGGAGCAGAAGTGATGAGTGCCACATCCAGGCCTAGCTTTTGAGAAGTGAGGGAGCTTCCCCCATGTTCTTGTTACTTTTCCCCTGGCTGAATTCAAATGATGGCAAGACCCCAAGATAGAGGAGCCACAAGATTAGAAGAGCCTGGATTCCTGCATCACCACATGGAGGAGAGCCACTCATTGCCCTGGCACATCCATTGCATGAGTGAGAAATAAACTTCAGGTGAGACCCAAAAGACATGTGATGAACTGGTTAGGACATTGCAGGCAGAGGAAATAGCATGTGCAAAAGGCTCAAGGCAGAACCAAGCTTGGCATGTTGGCACAGAAAGGATACCAATGTGGCCAGAATAAATGGCACAAGAGGAGGAAATGAGGTGAACCATGCAGGCAGTGGCCTCAGTCAGGAGTCTGTATTTCAAGTGGCCCCAGTGGAGGTGGCGCCATCAGCAGGGAAGAAATACCATGTGGTTCATACTTGGAAAAGATCCCTCTGGCCACTGTGCAGAGATGAGTTGGAAGGAGGCAGGAATGGACACACCAGAGAGGAGCTGGTGCAGTCATCCTAGCCTGGATGAGGCTGGGGACATAAGAGTGAGTGAACAGAGTGGGTTTGGATATATTTTCAAGGGCTTGCTGATGGGTTGTTTGTGGAAGGTGAAGGAAACCAAATAACCCACAAGCCATTAAACAAAATCTAATGCAGAAGCCAATATATATTAGTAAACACTTTAGGGGTCTCTGTCTAGCTTCTAATCTTCCTTCCCTGAGAACCTCCCACTTATGCCTATCTGATAACTCTACTTATCTGATAAACTGGCCCCTCCCCTGCCCTAGCTCATGGAGCTGGAGATCGGTCCCTGACTGGGGCTCAGCCAATCAGATCATCCCTGGCTGTCAGACCCCAGTGTGTGGCTGGATGGGGAATAGGCTGGGCCCTAGCACTCTCTCCTTGATAGAGATGATGGGGTAGGGGGAAGGTCAGCAGCCCAGAAGCTGAGGAAGAATGAACTCTCCAAGGACCACCTACCCATCCCATAGCAGGCGAAACATAGCTGCAAGTGGACTCAACCACCCTCAACCACAATTGGAGCTGCCACCAGCCAAGTGTGGAAAGGGTTGGTCTTTGCAGAGCCCTGGACTGGAAGAGGAGAGTGGGTCTCCCAGGGCAGAAAATGGGAGTGGCCAGCTCCAATTCTGTGCCTCAGGTTGGGAGACATGATCCTCTGGGTTCTTTCCATACCCTAGACAAGGATATTCCTTGTCTGAGCCTAGACAAGTTATTCCCCTGGGAAGGAGGGAGGTGCTTCTGTTTCTCCATCTGTCAGGTGGCTGAGTATAACAGATTTCATTTCCAAAAATGGCCACAGCCCCCTGCTCCTCATGAACCCTGCCACTCTCCATCAAGAGGGAGAGTTTATTTCTCCTCCCCTGGAGACTGGCAGGACTTTGTGACTGCCTTGATGAATAGAACGCAGCAGAGGTGACTGTGTAACTTCCAAGGGTGGGTAAGAAAAGACAATACAGCTTCTCTCTGGCTCTTTGTCTTGAGACACTCACCCTGGGAACCAGACGACCACGGTGTAAGGAAGCCCAGGCCCCCTGGAAAAGCCAGAGGTAAATGTTCTGGCCGACATTTACCCAGCTGGGGTCCCAGCCAACAGTCAGCATCAACCACCAGACCCATGAGGGAATCAGTCCAGCCCCTGGCCATCAAGTCTTCCATCTGAGGCCCCAGACACCGTGGAGCACAGACAAATCTACCCACTGTGCCCTTCTGGATTCCTGCCCCACACAATATGTGAATGCAATGAATGACTGTTTGATGCCAGTGTGTTCAGGGGTGATGGGTAACGCAGCACTAGATACCCAGAACGCTGACTCAGGCAGACTCTGCCTCCATGACACCCTCCGTGCTAAGCATCTGTTCCATTTCCCCACTGTCCTGAAATTTCCAGACACTCCTCTTTGACAAGCCAGGCTTGGCTATGAGCTGGGGCCTCTCAGGGATCTTCCAAAGATCAGCCGTGGAACAAGCCCTGCGGGGAGTTCACTCCCTGGTCAAGAACCTTTGCTAACTCCCCATTTCCCCCCATATCAAATCTCAGCTCTTCTACTAGGCTTCCCAGGCCTGTCCTAATCTCCTCCATCCTCATGTCTCCCTGAAATGGGCCACAATTCCTCCCTCTGCAGTGTATTAAGAGTGAGAATGTGGGGTTAGATGAGGTGAGGGGAATCGCAGGCTCTGGGAGAGCTTTGAGAGCTAGGCCTGAAGCTTTAGAAGGCAGTCTTCCCTCATTTAGCAAATATTGAGTCCTAGTGTGCACTACGTTCTATTTACAGTGCTGGGAATACACAGCTGCACCTGCTAGACATAATCCCTGTCCTAAACCCATGAGGATCATATTCTCTTCCACCTCAGGGCCTTTGCACCTGCCATTCTCCTAACCTAAAATCTATTTCGGAAGATTTGTGTACACCTCATCCTTTATCCTTCCAGTCTCACCTTAGAAGGGCCTGCCTGGCCACCCTCTCTAGTCATCCCCATTGCTAATTCCCTTTATTATTATTATTTTTTTTTTGAGACAGAGTCTCACTCTGTCACTGAGGCTGGAGTGCAATGGCACAATCTTGGCTCACTGCAACCTCTGCCTCCTGGGTTCAAGTGATTCTCCTGTCTCAGCCTCCCAAGTAGCTGGGATTACCGGCACATGCTGCCACACCTAGCTAATTTTTTGTATTTTAGTAGAGACAGGGTTTCACCGTGTTCAAGGCTGGTCTTGAACTTCTGAGCTCAGGCAATCCACCCACCTCTGCCTCCCAAGGTGCTAGGATTACAGGTGTGAGCCACCATGCCTGGCCTAATTCCCTTTACTCTTAATTATATCTCCCTGTTCATTTTCTCCCTAAGTCTTGAACAACAGTATATAATCTGTGATGGCTGATTTACTTGATGTTTGTCTGACTTCCCCTACTAGAAGTGTCAGCTCCCTGAGGCAGGGACTGTGTCTGTCTCATTCACTGCTGTGTGCCAGGGCATGGCACAGGGCCTGGCACCCAGGGGTGCTCTATGACTATTAAATGTGTGCAGTGTGATGCTGGCTGCACAGTGCCTGCTTGCAGCTGGGAAGCTCGCAGTAAGGGGTGATCCTCTCTTTCTCTTCTGCCCTGTCTGTGGACATGCCCCATAAACACTCAACAGACTCCCCTCTGTGCCAGGTTCCATGTGGGCACCAGCAGCATGTAAGGGCTCAAACACAGTCGCTGGTACTGAAGCAGCTCCCAAATACTGGGGCAGGAGACAGATATCCAGCCTGTACTGGATATCTGGGGACATAGTGTAGCTGGTAGGGAGAGACGGCACAAAAGTCAGGGCACCAGAGGTCTGCAGTGCCAAATTAGAGTGGAGTAAGGACTCCATGCTGAGTAAGGAAAGAAGATCAGGCAGGCACTGGGGAGTACATTGAGGATGGAAAGGAGGGCGATGGAGGCCATCTGGAAGGACGAAAGCGAGTGGTAGCAGGAGAGGCATCTTAGGTATGACCCCGGGCATGACACGCAACCTCTCTGAATCTGTGTCCCTGTTGGTATAACATTCTGTGAAGCACACAGGTCCTGGAGCCTTCCTGGGTTCAAATCCCACCCTCTGATTACTCATGACCCTCAATAAGTTCTTTCAACTTGGTTTCTTCATCTGTAAAATGGAGATGACAATAATAGCACCTCCCCACTATTGTTTCATCAGGATCACATGAGTTAATGCATTGAAAACACTTAGATCGGTGCCAGGCACATGGTAAGTGGTCAGTCAACGTGAGCTAGCACTGAAGCAGGAGTCACAGTTGCAAAGCACAGACCAGTGCCTGCACGCGCACACAGCAGGCACTCATCAGTGAGACGGACCTTCTATCTGCCTCTTACGCTGTAACACATATCACCACCCAACATGGTATTTTTTTGCTTATGTGATTATTGTCCCTTGCCTCCACCAGAATGTGAGCTCAATGAGGGCAGGGGTTCTGTCTCTTTTGTTCCCTTGCATTATCCCCAGAGCCCAGGGCAGTACTTGACACATAGTAGGTGCTCAGTAAGTAGTTGCTGAATGAATTCATTTCTAATTTTTAGTTTTGTGCTTGGTGCACAGCAAATGCTCAACAAATGCTGGTCCTCTTCACCCCTACCAGCCTCTCCATCCCGTTTCTACCTGCTCCAGGAAGCCCTCTTGGGCCTCGCAGCATCCACCAACCGTCCTTCATCCCAGGCTAAGTTCCCCACAGACCCCCTTGGCCCACCTCCCATCTGCTTTATCATGCCTGTGGAGCCAAGGTTCACCTTGTTCCCCGGCACTCCCGCCAGCGTGAGTAAGCATCAGCCAGGACCTGGAGAGTAGAACCCACCCAGAGAAGAGCCCCTGCTTCTCTGCCCACCCCAGGCCAGAAGTGCTCTTGCCCCTGGACTGGTTTGTCCAGGGAGGTTTTCCAAGTCACTGAGAGCCCCATGATCAGATGTCACCAGATCCTCCCACCCCGGCTGCAGGGGCTGCAGTACCACCAGGGCCAGAGCCATCCCCATGCGTGATTTCAACATCTGTAATACTTTCCCCTCTCCTTGTGGAATTCCCCCTCCAAATTCCTCCTGCTTCATTATTAGTATATATAAAAAATAAAAAAATTAAGCTGTCTTAATCATTTTCCATATTAGCTGACAGCCGGTTCCCATATGCCTGGGAGTGAGACCACACCTCCTGTTCCCCCCCCCTCCCCGCCCTCTCTGCTGTTCCAAAATGACTAGCCCCAAACAAGGCCCAGTTACTGAAAACCCTCTATCTTACAGACTCCGCAGCCCTGACTCCTTGGAGTCCTGTCTGGCTGGTGTGGCCCAAGCCAAAAGCAAAGCAGGAAGATTCTCTTATGTCCCCAAAAAGTGCAGACCTCAGGGCTGGGCTGATCAAGGTGCAAATCTCAGTGTCATCACCTACAAACTGGAACTCCACAAACTGCTTTGTCCTGTCCAAGAAAGGGCACAAATTCTGAAGCAGACGGATCTGAGTTCCATCTCTGGAACTCAGCTCTGTCACCTTGGGCGAGCCAGTTCACCACTCTGAGCCTGAGTTTCGTCATCTGTAAAACGGCAGAAACAACAGCAGTTACCTCTCAGTGTCACAGTGAAAATCAAGGAGACTTTGATAACAGCAGTGAACATCCACTGATCCCACTGTGTGCCAGGCACTGAGCCAAGCCCTCCCTGCCTCCCCCTCATTGCATCTGCACAACAACCTGCTTTGCAGACAGAAACAAAGGGACCGAGATATTAAAAATTTCTCCAGGACAAAGAACAGGGAGGTGGAGGAGCACCCTGACCCAGGCCCGGCATTTTCAGTTCCACTCGAGAGCCTGACCCCCTGGAGATACTCCACAAGTCCTCACCCTTTTCCCCCAGTTTCACCTTGGTCTTTCCTCCTCTCATGGTCTTGAGCATGGGCATCAGGGATTGGCAGCACTGTTGTGTCCTGTCCCCACTGCCCAACCCCAGTGCCAGGGCTGTGAGCATCAGGAGGGTCGGTAGGAGCCCGTGGCCCATGCATGGCAGACTCAGGTGGCCCAGCACCTTGCGGCTGCTCCTAAAAGCACAGACACCTGTATTGAAGAGAGGGAAGTTCTGGGTTGAACTTGAACTGATTGAGAATTCCCAAGCCAGAGGAGATAGACAACTATGCCAGACCTCAAACTTGAAGATTGTTTTTGTTTTTATTTAACTGAACCAAACTGATTTTTTTCTTCCCCCCGAATTACGAGTGAATCAGTTCATAATAGAAGCCCCCATTATATCTCCTAGATTTTTAACCAAAATATCCAAAAAGAATTGGGCTAACATAGCCACACCATCTTGGAATATGTATATTTATAGTGACATGTCATAAAGACTTCTAGTATTTTGTCTCTACTCTTGATCCAAACTCCAGTGGTTCCGGTTTCTCTATATTAAGTATTCACGTGCTTTGCATGTGTCACTTTTCATCCTTCAGCCCTTAGAGGGAAGTATCATTCATCTTCAACTTACAGATGAGGAAACTGAGACTCAACGTAGTTAAATGATCTGTAAGACAAGGTTCTGAATTTGAACATAGGTCTCAGCTGCAGAGCCATGTTATTGCTAACACAGCCTCTGTATGGTTCTCCAGAAGGCCCCTGATCCACTAAGAAACAAACCTGTCCCCCAATGCCAGCTGACCCTATCCATGAACCCTCCTCCCTCCAGCCAGACAGGCCTCTGCCCGGAGAGGCAGCATCATCTCCAGCTGCCTGTACTCTCATCCCAGTTCAGCCATTCGCCAAGCATGACAACTCGGACAAGACCTTTCCCTCCTCAGCCTGTTTCCTCCTGTGCTGAGGAGAAATAAAATCCTCCATCTCCCACGCTGTTCTGTGAAATGAAGCAATCATGTACCTAAAGTGCGAGCACATAGCTGGGCATGGTGGCTCACACCTGTAATCCCAGCACTTTGGGAGGCTGAGGCAGGCGTATCACTTGAGCTTAGGAGTTCAAGACCAGCCTGGTCAACATGGCAAAAATCCACCACTTGAGACTAGGATTTCAAGACCAGCCGGGCCAACATGGCAAAAACCCATACAAAATTAGCTGGGCGTGGTGGCACACACCTGTAATCCCAGCTACTCAGGAGGCTGAGGCACGAGAATCACTTCAACCCACGAGGCAGAGCTTGCAGTGAGCTGAGATGGCACCACTGCATTCTGGCCTGGGTGACAGAGCAAGACTGTCTCAAAAACCAAAAACAACAATAACAAAAAAAAGGGCTAGCACTTATTTTACTTCTAAACTCTCCAGCCTCAACCCAACGTAAGTGAGGTGCATATAATAGGTGCTCAAGAATTACTCATTGATGATAAAAGCAAGCCTGGAACAACAAAAATAAGAGACTGGGCAGAAATATTACAAAACATCAGAAGTAGATCCCTCTGGGGTGGAATTATGGGTGATTTTATTGTCTTCTTGGTGATTTTTTTTTTCTATTTTCCAAACTCTCAGCTTGGAAGTATGTTATACTGTGTTTTCTAATTGTATGACACTATGAACTATACAATGCACTGTACACCTAATAGCAGTTTTTGAGAGGAAAGAACAAAACTACTTCATTGGATTGTAAGACTTGTTCTGATTTTGGTAAAGTTAAACTCTGCAGGGCAGGAAGAGTAGAGAGGTGTTTTAGAATCAAGGAAATACATTTGTAATCAAGCAATCAAAGTGGTGGTCTTGGGGGGAGGAGGCTAATAAAATTATTATTGTTAATGTTATTATTATTTTTGAGATGGAGTCTCCCTCTGTTGCCCAGGCTGGGGTGCAGTGGCATGATCTTGGCTCACTGTAACCTCCACCTCCCGAATTCAAGCAATTATCCTGCCTCAGCCTCCCAAGTAGCTGGGACTACAGGCGCACGCCACCATGCCTGGCTAATTTTTTGTATTTTAGGAGAGACTGGGTTTCACCGTGTTGCTCAAGCTGGTCTCAAACTCCTGAGCTCAGGCAATCCACCCGCCTCGGCCTCCGAAAGTGCTGGGATTACAGGCATGAGCCACTGAACCTGGCCATAGCATTACTTTTTAAAGGAGGAAGAGGATACAGGCAACTTTTCATTGCTTCCAGAACCTGGAACATCAGCTTAACCTTGCCGGCACACCCAGCTCACCTGGGATATTTGAAAATAAACACAGATGGCCAGGCCCTGTCCTGGTCTGAATGGCCAGCATCTCTAGGCTGGGGCCTGGGAGTCTGTGTTTTAAGTGGACACAGCAGATCCTGGGCACTGTATAGTAAATAAATCTCCTCATCCACTTTCTGTCTCATCTTACAGATGGGAAATCAGAAGTCCAACCAGGGGAGGTGTTTAGCACTCTCCTGCCTGAATGGTGAGGGTGGCCAATCTCTTCCTTCACCCCAAGGGCCTTTCTCAGTCCCTGTCACCATCTTACCTCTCCCAGTCCTAGCCCCTTCCCCAGCCTTGCTCTGCCAGCCTGGAGCTGTTTCTTCCTTTTCTCCCTAAGGGAGTGTTCCCTGTTCTTAATTAGGGAGACTCTGGGTATTTTTGTCTCTTTGAGTACTGCGTTCTGTTGCCAGCAAATAACTTTAAATAGAAAAAATATGCCCAAAATTAAACTAGAAAACAGAAATAAATAGGAAGGGGGTGGGCTGAGTGTCAGCCTGCCCTTGGTGGAGAGGGTGGGCTCTGGGCCTCCTTTCCTGCATCTCTGCCATGGAGACCATCACAGTACCCACCTTCTGGGGTGCTGTGCACATCAGACAAGAAGAGGCACACAGTACACTTTGCACAGGGTGTCTAAGTGTCCATTAATATCCAAAGTTACTGGGCACACTCGTTGCTTGGATTTTGAGATAATTATGTAGAGAAAATGTCAAGGGGCTCAAAGTCCCCCAGTTGACATTTCCCTACCAAGAGCTACTTTTATAACATGCTGCCGGATGTCATTTTCTTAATAGGTACAATTTTAAGAGCATCTCTCCACCTTCTTCCCTACCCTAGTCCAACTGTTCACAGCTGAAAGAGTGACCTTCCAAAAGCCTAACTCAGATCATATGATTCTTTGCCTCTGAAATTTTTCAAAGCTCTCCATTGTCTACGAAATGCCGGCCTCAGAGCCTTTCAGGATAGGGGCCATGAAGGGTCTCAAATTTCAAATTTCATCTTCCTCTACCATCCTCCTGTCACCCTCCAGCCACACAGACCTGCCCCTTGGTCCCCAAATGGATGCCCACTTCCTTTTTCCCTAATTGAAAGCCAGGGCAGAGTTAGGTTAATCACATGCCTTAGCTCCAGCCACACTTTTGGCACCAGAGTGAGACCCCTCCCTTATTTTATGTGTCCCTTTCATGCCTCATCCCTACTCTCATCCCACCTCTCATCCCTCCCTCATGTGGATACCCCCCTAACGTGTTTGGCGTGTGTCTTTAAACATGCACGTGCCCTTGGAAAATGTGCAATGTTGTTGTCTGTGTGTATGATTTTAATTTACATAAATGCTATTCATATTATGGCTTCTTACCTTTTTTCCTTGACACTGTCTTGAGATCTAGCCTGCATATGTGTGGAATCATCACTTCCAACTGCAGAAGAGTCAGCCACAGGGGGTGTCCTCTGTGCTTCCCTGCCCATCGTTCTGGTGCTGGTGGCCTAGGCTACCTCTGACTCCCCACAACAAACCTCTGACTGCTTCTTATGTAAGAGAACACAACGACAGCTCCTGCTTTTTGCATAACGAGCCGTTGTTTAGTAACAAGGGGCAGATGCCTCACTCAAGTGGATTTAGACACAGAGACAAAGAAAGTGTAGATCTAGGTGTTCACTAACTCCTCAGGCAGCTGTCTTTCTCCATCTTATCAATTCCAAGATCCCAGCCTCCCACCTTGGCAACTGCAGGGGAAAAGAAGCTCCCGAAACAGTCCCAGGTGACTTTCTGGACCATAGCCTTTGTGCTGTTTCTTTGACGGTGGGATCTGGTTTTGTCCTGGCTTCAGCCTTCCCAGATCCATGTGTTTCAGAGGAAGTGAACTCCAGTCTCGGGGTGTTATGGACTGAATTCGAAATTGTGTTGAAACCCTAAAGCCCAATGTGGCTATATTAGAAGACATGGTCTGAAGGGAGGTAATTCAAGTTAAAGGAGGTCACGAGGGTGGTATCCAGTAGGACTGGTGTCCTTATAAGAGGAAGAGACATCAGAGCTCTCTCTTCACATAGACACACAGAGCAGATGCCACATGAGGACACAGTGAGGAGGTGGCCATCTACAGGCCAGAAAGGCCTCACCAGAAACCAAACCTGATGACACCTTGATCTTGAACTTCCAGCCTCCAGAACCAGGAGGAAATAAATTTCTGTTGCTGAAGACACCCAGTCTGCAGTATTTTGTTATGGTAGCCCAAGCAGACTAATACAGGGAATGAACTGTGATTGGTCTAAGGCAATATTTCTCCATTTTTTTTTCATTATTACCCCTCATTATTGACCTCCTGAAGAGTTGTTTTAAGAATTTTTTTCTCCTAAGAGTGCCTCCCACAAAATATATATATACTACAGACATATCTATTTATGTAGTGTGGTTTCTTGGAGGGTCACAAACGGTTGTCATATCTAAGATTTTGTCATACCTTAACCTAAGCTAATTTTTACAGCCTTAGGAGCAATATTGCCCCATTGAGAATGCACTGCCTAAGGCAATGTACTTGGTCTGTGATTGGTTAGAACATGGGCATGTGAGGCTAATGTAGACCATAGATGTGAGAGCCACAGAGGAAGAAATTGTCCCTTTTCACCTTTGGTCTTTATTATGGATGGACATAATGCCTGGATCTGCGGCAGCTATTTTGTGACTATGAGGACAGGCTGATATGCTTTAAATGGCCAACTAGTAGATAAAACCTAGGCCATTGTTCATATATATATATATATTTGAGATGGAATTTCACTCTTGTCACCCAGGCTGAAGTTCAGTGGCTCGATCTCAGTTCACTGCAACCTCTGCCTGGTTCAAGCTATTCCCCTGCCAGAGCCTTCAGAGTATCTGGGATTACAGGCACCCACCACCACTCCCAGCTAATTTTTGTATTTTTAGTAGAGACGACGTTTCACCATGTTGGTCAGGTTGGTCTCAAACTCCTGACCTCAGGTGATCCACCCACCTCGGCCTCCCAAAGTGCTGGGATTACATGTGTGAGCCACCACACCCGGCCCACTGATCATATTTTTGAGCAATAAAAGTAACCAGCCCTGAAACTGCCCTACCACAAACTCCTCCTTATGTGAAATGATGCATTTTCACATTTCAGCCTGTTCAGCTGTGTAGTTTTTGTAATTGCAGCTGAAGACATTCTAACAGATCCTGTTCTTTTTCCCGTAAGTTGTACCAAATGTTCTGAGGCAGACTGGCAGTGATGGGCCTGGTTAGTCCATGAGTTCATCCCCAAACCAATCTTGTGGCCAGACTTGAATCCTGTGCCCACCCACCTTTGTAGCTCAGGGATGGGAAGGGGTCAACCCCACCTGGACTGAGAACTGGGGGCTGTTCCTCCGAGGGAGATGAGGGAGATACTTCCCAAAGGGATTGTGAATGCTGAGAGGGCAGAAATGACAGCTGGGTTTCACATTCACACCATCCCTTCTACATGAAATACCCCATCTCCAGCCCAATATACTCCCTCTAGTGCAGCTCAGCATCTCCCTCTTCTGAAAGGTCTCCCCAAGACCATGTTGAAATTATCTCTTCTCTTCCAGGTGATGCTCACTGGGGCATTTGTAGTCTACCTCTGCCCTTAAGAGGCCAGTCTTCATGGCATGCAATCATTCATGCATCCATCTACCCTCCAATCTTAATTAGCACCTTCTGTAGCCATCCCTAGGCCTTGGGGTGCTAAGCAAGAAAAAGGCATAATTTCCATCCTCAAGGATCTCACAGTCCAGGGGAGGAAGCAAAACTCATAGGCATTCATTCGACACACATTTATTCTCTGTATAGATATGAGTAAAATATTGCATATCCTCAAGGAAAGGGGGAACTCCCCAGCTAATGGGACAGACAGATGAAGAACAAGTAAGTACAGTGTATAATGAGGTGACAGAAGCCACCACTCATTGCTCTGACTAGGAGGAAACAACAAGATGCCTTAGACTCTTTTGGCCAAGGAAAGACACACTAGCTGTGTGAATGCCAGGTGAGCTGGCATCATTTGTCTGGGATAGGGTGCAGTGGAGGCTGTTGAGGCCTGACAGCTTCCCCCTTCACCTTACTCCATTGTTTGCCAGGCTCATGCCTGGGAGAACCATATGCATAAGAAGACCTGGATCTTATAGGAAGAAGAAGTGGAAAAGCCAATACCTGACCTCCAGGAATCAGAATTTGTGTTGCAGGTTGGGTTCTATGCAGGCAGACACGAAGACAGAGTTTAGGTGCAAGGTGTTTATTAGGAATCAATATCTGGAAAAGAAAGGGGCAGGAATCAGGGTTGAGGAGGAGGAGATACTTAACTGCAATGTGACCCAGTAAAGCGTTGGTCAACATGGTGAGGAAGTTGGGAGCAAGAATTATCCCTCGATAGACACCCCGTTCTACATGATGTAATTATTATGAATTACATGCCTGTATCAAAACATCTCATGTACCCCATAAATATATATATACCTACTATGTACCCACAAAAATTAAAATTAAAAAGAGTTACCCCTCAGAGAATCCCAAAAGATATCAAAATATCCAGACTTTTGTCTCAGCCCCTTCATTTTGATAGTTCACTATTCACCAAATACAGGTTGCCCCAGGAAGGGCATGGCCTGGGATGAAGTGGCCCTCTCAAGCTGAGGCTAACCTTGAAGGGGCTGAAGCTGAAGGCTCTCTGCTGACCATGCTTCCCCCGCCTTCAGCTGTCAAGTCCTTCAGGGTCAGCTCAGTTCTGAGTGCCACTTTACTTGGGGTCACTTCTTTGATTCCAAGCAGTTTAACATAATGGCAACCACAGTTAGGGAGACCTGTCCTGGTGGATCAGGGTGGCCCAAGCTAAGGTCTGGAGGAAAGACGACCCTCAAGAAAAGATGTCTCCTCTGTCCCTCCACCCCATTCATACTAAGGGCCATGGGTTCATGGAGAGGGTTTCAGATGGGCACATTATAGGGCTGAGGCTAAAAGTCTCTTTGAACCAACTCACACTTGTACAGAAGTGATGCTGTGAGGACTAATGAAAACAAGTAGCATCTACTGCATGCTTAACATACACCAGGCACTATTCCAAATTTTTTACCCACATTAGTCATTTAATTCTCACATTACCCTATCAGAGGAACAATGATGAGCATGGGTATGTAGACCAGAAGGAGCTAAAACCCTAGAACACAAGCAGAGGACACCAGTGAGCCCAGGAAAGGCCCTGGGCCCCTGGAAGCAGTCTCCTCATCCGCCTGCATGGGCCAGGGTTCAACAGAGGCACCATGTGGCTGCAAGAGGCAGAAATGGCTGCAGACTGAGCTCTACTAGTTCCTTCCACTTGATGTTTGAATAAAGTCCCTGGAAAACTTGGGGAGATGGGATGAGTATCTCAGCTGGGAACACACCAAGACTTCTTAATAAGGCATGGAGAGGCTCAAGCAATTGATTGGAAAGAAAAAAAAAAAACAAAACTAACTCAAGTTGGTAGATTTTACCTGCCATGAGATGTTTGTGAATAGCAGAGCACAGGGTAGAGAGGTCACTGCCAAAGAGCAACTCCCAGTCACCCTTGACATGTGGCATCCCCTCTCATGCCTCCACGTCTGCATAAGCTTGGTAATCTTGTGCCCTCTGACACCATTCTCCCACCTGTCACCCCACTCCATTCTGCCCATCAGGATAATGCTGCCACATCCTCCAGGAAGCCTTCTCTGGCTGTCCTTCTCCATGACGCTAGGCTCCCCTTCCATCTTCCCACAACTTCATGTACCTCCCTCTATCATTTTATTTATCAATCATTCTAGATTTTATGTGTTTATGACTGACTTTCCTCCTAGATTATGAGGCAGTATGATTATATTATTTACCTTTCCCACTGTCATGCATTCCCATTTATCTCACTCGGCGATTGTCACAACAATGCTGCAAACTAACTACCACTAAGCTCAGTGGCTTAAAACAATAACTTCTTCTCACTCATGGGTCTGTAGGTCAGCTGGGATTCTGGTGGTCTAGACTGGGCTGGGCTCCAGGCATGCATGCGGATCTGCTCCACGCGTCTCTCATCCTCCTTGACCCACAGAAGACAGCTGGAAGCAGGCAGGACCTCATAGGCTTTAGCTCAGAGCTGGTGTGCTGTCACTTCTGCCCATGTTCCATCAGCCAGAGCAAGTCACATGGCCAAGCTCAACATCAATTAGATGTGGAGAAAATTGATGAGTCATGTGGCAAAGGGCATGGATATAGGAAAAGGTGAAAATTAGGAATAGTATGATTTACTGTGACACAGATGCTTTCTGGTGAACACCAACCTCTCCAAACTCATTTCAAGACCCTTCCTCATCAGCCCAGTGCTCAAGGTCAATTCCTGCAACCTTCAGCCCTTTGTAGCCTTTCAGTCTTTTGAACACACTGTACTTTTTGTCTGACATACACCTTTCCCATCCCTTTCAGATCTCAGCTGAGATGTCATCTCCTCAAAGATTTGCATGGCTGTAGGCTTTGCCACCAGGAGATAGTGACCCAACAAACAAGCTTGTATGGGTGAGTCCCTGAATCCAAACCCAACCCTGCCTGGCCTTGCCACTCACTGCTGTGAGGCCCTAAGAAAATCTTATCTTTTTTCTACTGCTGTTTTCTTATCTGCCAAAAGTAAATAAAAACATCTTCCCATATCAGTTAGAAATGCTTGCAGCTGCAAGTAGCAGAACCCCTAATAGTAGCTAAAACAATAATATCTCACAAACTAGATGCCTGGAAGCAAGAAGCTCCAGGGCTGGTTTATTGGCTCAGTGATGTAAGGACTAAGTGCTCACTCATACCCTCTCATTTCTCCTCCTTCCCTTTCCCCATTCTACTAGGTTGGTGCAAAAGTAATTGTGGTTTTTGCCATTACTTTCAATGGCAAATTGTGGTGCAAAAGTAGTTGTGGTTTTTGCCATTACTTTCAATGGAAAAAACAGCAATTACTTTTGCACCAACAGCAAAAACAGCAATTACTTTTGCACCAACCTTAATATTTCCACAGTGTCTTCCCTAAAGTCTCACAGAAGGTTCCCTTTACATTTTACTGGGCAGACATGGATCATATGGCCACTCTAGCAGGAAAGTGAAGTGGGAATGCCAATATCAGGGTTTTGTTGTTGTTGTTGTTCAGCCTCCTTTGGGGGAAGCAGCAAACGAGAAGGGGGTAAGAATTGGCTGCTGTGTAATCAACTCACAATATCTACTCCTGATCTAACTTTCTACCTCACAGAATTTTTGTGAAAATTTGGATTGCCAGTAGCACTCTGAAGGCCACAAGCTTATAAAATAATAATCTACTTTTATTATTATTCATGACTTATTAAGAAAAAATCAATATTGGAAGAGAATAATACTTCGCATTTGTTCAACAATGAACTTTCCGAAGGTGAAAGGAAAAGCAATTACTGTCTGAGCCCAGCCTGAGTCCCAAGTCCATGCCAAGCGCAAGCCTGCAAGACCATTTCCTCCTCCAGGGACTTGCTTCGATTGTGCTAAAACAGCTTCTGCCAAGCCAACCAGGATTGCATGCTGCCAAATCCAGTACTCATTTTCCTGATCTTATTTTATTTGAATTCCCTGAGCATTCAATCCAGTTGGCAGCACCCTCCTTGATACATGATCCTGTCTGGGCTTCTGTATGCTCACAGCCCTGGTTGTTCCTCAGTCTCCTCTGCTGGCTTCTCCCCATCTACCTGGTTTCTAGATGCCAGCTGACTCAGGACTCACATGTGAGCTCCTCTCCTCCTTCCCACCCCCTATGCTCTTTCTGTCTCAGGTTTCTCAAACCTTAGCATGCATCACCGTCACAGGGAGGGCTTGTTAACACATAGATTGCTGGGTCTCACTCCCACAGTGTCTGATTTCATCGCTCTAGGGTGAAACCTGAACACTTGCATTTCTAACAATTTCTAGGTGATGGTGATGATGCTGGTCCTGGGACCACCCCTTGAGAACCTCTCACTGCTCTATCTCAACCAGTGTTGAGAGCCTTGTTTCTCAGCCTTGGCTGCAAATTGGAATCACCCGGGGTGCTTTAAAATATGGACACCAGGATCTCATCCCCCAGAGATTCTGATTTTAATGGTCTGCATTATATCCTGGGTACCTAGAGTTAAAAACCTCCCCCAGGTGACTTCAACATGCAGGTAAAGTTGAAAGCCCCTAATTTAGATACTACTTAACTGCTAGTAACACCTACATTTATTTCCCTCTCCCAGACTTGTCCTCTGAGTTTTAGCCCAGTATGCCCAATTATTCACTCGATATCTCCACTTACGTGACTCACAAGCATCTGAGAGTTAACACACCCAAAGTGGAAGTCTGAATCTTCACTTCCAAATTGCTACTTCTCTATCTTCCCCATCTCAGCAAACAGCAACTCCATCCATGTGCTGTAGTTTATTGGGGTAAAAACCTTGGAGTTATCTTTGGCTCCTCTCTCCCCTCCATGACCCATATATAATCCTTTGACATAGTCTATCGGTTCCACCTACAAAACATATCCCTAAATTCTCCTCTCTGCCTGAACTGCTAACACCTACATCAGAATATCATCAACTCTTTCCTGGGTGGTCTCTGCAGCATCCTCACCTCCCTACTTCTATTCTTTACTCCCTCGCCAATGCATCCTCCAAACAGCAGCCAGAATGGTCTCTTAAAATCATAAACCAGATCATGATACACCCCGATTTAAAGTCTTGCAAAACTTCCTGTCACCTTGGGCATAAAATCTCAGCTCTTGCTCATGGCCAGTGAGATCCTGTCCTCTTCTCAACCTTGTCTATTCCGCTCTCTCCCTGGCTTAGATACTCCAAACACACTGGCCTTCCTTCTGTCCCTTAAATACATTCAGTTATTTCTTGCATTTACTATTTCATTAACCTGGATTTCTGTTCCCTTTGGACTCTGCTTGGCCAGCTACCTCTCATCTTTCAGGTCTGCTTAAGTGTCACTGCCTTAAAGTGTCTCCCTGACCCGCCTGTTATGTTCTATCATAAGACTCTATATTCTTCTTAGCGCCTATCAGAGTTGGTGATCATTTGATTTGTAAATATATTGGTTTATTATTTGTCTCTCTCACTAGACTGTGTGCTTTGTGAGGGCAGGAACCATGCCTGTTTTGGTCACGGTTGACACCTCAGTGCCCAGAAGAGTGAATGAGACATAGTGGGTATTCAAAACATACTTAGGGAGGGAGAGAAAAGAGGAAGAAAAAGGAGGGAGGAGAAAGGAAGGTCTAGTAATACTCAGAGCCCAGGAATTACACACCAGATACCCCTTGCTTCTACCCAAGAGGTGGTTCAGATTAGAGATTAGATTTCAAGGCTCCAGCTTGCTAGCTCATAACTGCTTCTACTCAAGACGGTCTATTCATGTAGCAAAGTCAAAATGTGAACATGCTTTTAAGTTCCTTGACGACAGGAATTGTGGCTTGTTTACTCTTCTACCTGGCATTTGCACAGAGCCTGGGCCTGAATGAAAGTTCAGTAAATGGTTCATGAATGATTTGAATGGCATTTGCCTGAAGGAAATCTAAGAAAGTCTTGCCTTGGTTTCCCCATTAAATGGGGCAAGCAATTCTTATCTCCCCTTCCAGAGAGCTGCTGCCAACACAGGGAATCCATCCTGGAAGAAAAGATTGGTGGCCACCTGCACCATCAGGTGGAGGGCATCTCTCAGCTGCCCTTGCCACATCTGCAGCCCTAAGCTTCCAGGTGACCCCAGTGGACCAGTCTGCCCAGAGCATATCATTAGTTAGGGGCACTCTGCAGGAGGATGCCTGCCTTTGCTAGTGCATAGCTAATGTCCCAGGGGGCTTCCTCTAATTAAAACCCAAACTGCAATTATAGTTGTGCCAAAGCATGTGCACATGGCGCCACTTAAAAGGGACAGATTGACAAGGCGTTAACAACTCCAGAGGCAGCATTGTCCCAGCACCAGGTGCTACCAATCATCAAAATTAGAACCAAATGAGTCACTGGGGCTCAAGATACAGTATCCAGTGCAGACTAATGGGTGATTCCAAGAAACTTATGAGGATTATTTAAAACACACTAACTATGCTCCTTCTACAGGGCCTTTGCACTTACTAGTCCCTGTACTTCTTCTTGCCTAACTCTATTTGATCTCTCTCAATTATCACCTCTTCTGAGACACCTGCTTTGATCACATGAATCTCTACCCTGCTTTATTTTTCTTCTTAGTGTTTATTATCATCTGATATTATATATTTGTTTTGCGATTGATAGCCCAAAATATGTTTTAATATTGTATAAATGTAAAACATATATAAATACACAAAATTTTATAATTTTCTGCAATACATATGTATCAAGAAGATACAGCATACACACTAAGGAGGGTGTCTTCTTGGGGTTGGGGGTGGTGAGGCAGGGGAATAGAAAGACTGATTCAGAAAGAAGAGAGGAACAATAAAAGAACAAATGAGAATATTTATATATCCTGATGACAATAGTGGGCCATTATTTGAAGAGTATGATAAACTTGAATTTTCCTTCCTATCACTTGGTAAACTTGAATTATTCCTCCCTGAAGTTCTGTACTCTGGGAAAATTTTCTTTTTTTTTTTTTTTTGGAGACAGAGTCTTGCTCTGTCACCAGGCTGGAGTACAGTGGCACGATCTCGGCTCACTGCAACCTCTGCCTCCTGGGTTCAAGTGATTCTCATGCCTCAGCCTCCCAAGTAGCTGGGATTATAGGCACATGCCACCACACCCAGCTAATTTTTGTATTTTTAGTAGAGACAGGGTTTCACCATGTTGGCCAGGATGGTCTCGATCTCCTGACCTCATGATCTGCCCACCTTGGCCTCCCAGAGTGCTGGGATTACAGGTGTGAGCCACCATGCCTGGCCACTCTGGGATAATTTTATTTTGGTTTTTAGAAATAACTTTATTGAATATTTTAGTACCAGTAATCTTGCGATAAATTTCAGCCCTGGTTTGGTTGTTGTTGTTGTTGTTTTTGGTCTAAAGCCATCTTGATTTTGCCTTTATTTTTGAAGAGTATTTTTACTAGATATAGAATTCTAAGTTGTCAATTATGTATATTTTTTCAGCACTTTATAAATGTTATTTCATTGTCTTCTGGCTTTCATCATTTCTGTTGAAAAGTCTACCATCAGTCTTATTGTTGCTCTTCTGTAGGTAATGTCATTTACCTCTGACTACTTTTAAGATTTTTCTCTTTATTTTTGTTTTTCAGCAGTCTTACTATGATGTTCCTATGTATAATTTTCTTAGTATTTACCCTGCTTGGGATTGTCAGAGCTTCTTGAGTCTGTGGGTTGATATCTTTTATCAGTTTTGAAAAAATTCTTAGCTCTTATTTCTGCAAATATTGTTAATTTTGTATTCTTATCCTCACCTTCTAGGACTCCAAATAAATGTATATTTTTTTTACTAGGTCCCACATATCTATGACACATTCGTGTATTTTCTATTATTTTTCTATGTATACTTTAGTTTGGACACTTTTCATTTTTTTAAGTGTGCTAATCCTATCTTCCACTGTATCAAATCTCTGTTAATCCCATCTGATGAATTTTTGATTTCAGATATTATATTTTCTCATTCTAGAGGTATCATTTTTTCTTTTTTATAGACGCTAATTTTCTGATGAAATTCTCCATCTTTTCAAATATTTTGTGCATATTTTTCTGTTTTTTAACATATTAATCTTAGCATGTCAAAGTCATTATCATATACCTGTTTCTATTGTCTATTTTATTCTGTTTGTTTTCAGATATGTCCTAGCTTTGGCATAACTAATAATGTTAATAGAATGCCACTTATTATACATAATGTAGAGACTCCAGATGATATATTCTTCTAGAGAAGATTTACCCTCTGCTAGGCACAGAGTGGGGCTTATCATCATAAACCAGTCAGGGATTGTACTGAGTCAAGACTGTAAGGTAACCCCAGGAAGGTCAGTTTCCCTGTGCTTCAGTCAGTCATACACTGAACACCTCTTCTCAGAGGCTTTATGCCAAGGTTTATAGCCTCCTGCACCAGGTATCCCAGAATCCAGCAAGTGTCTTGAGGGATTAATGAGCCCTCAAGTCTGCCAAAGGCTCTGCTGGTTTCTTCCACACTAGTCCAGTGCTGCATAAAACTTGGATTCTCAGCATTCTGCTTTTGCCTAGAATTGGAAAATGGTCTGGGGTAAAGAAGCTATATAATTCAGCTTACTCCCCTGCTGTTCATTCCTTTCCAGAATTTTAGCAAGTAGTATATTTTTTTCCAATCCTATGATATCTGACAATGCTACTATATTTCTCTAGTCAATTTACTCTTCCATTTCCTGGGCAACCATTTCACTTTCTCTTATTTCTTCACATCTTTGACACCTTCTTTCTCTCCTCACTTCTAACTGACGGCTTACAAATGAAAGCAAGTGGAATGACAATAACTTTTTATAAAAACTTCTACACTAGTCCATCAACACGTCTCTCTAATACTTCTCCCTCCCTCTCTTTCTCTCTCTCCCTTTCTCTCTCTCCATGTGTCTGCTGGATCCCATCATTCTCATCTAATCAAGGACTTTGCTCCTATAATCATCCCTCCATGAATCATTTTCCTCTCTCTGCTAAATTATTCCCATAAGTGGACAAATATACCATTAGTCTCCCATCTTCTAAAAAGTATATACCCTCCCTTGTCTCAATATCTCTGTGCAGCTACCCCCACATTTTGTTTCTTCCCATTTGAAGCAAAACTCCTCAAAAATTGTATATATTCACTATCTTCATTTTCTTTCCTTCTATGCCAAACAGGTTTTCCTCCTTCAAAGCTACTCTCATCAGGGTCACCAAATACCTCTGCATTGCCAAATCCAGAGGTCAGTTCACAGACCTCGCCTTACCTGATTGCTCAGAAGCATTTGACACTGTTCTCTTTGCTGGTTCTTCCTCATGTTCTCGACATCTGAGTGTTGGAGACCCCCAAAATCAGTCCTAGGACTCTTTCTTTTCCTTCTATATATTCCTTTTACGTGCTTTCCTTATTCTCTTTGTATATAATTTAATACCTCTACTGGGTAATTTACAAAGAAAACAAACTTATTTCTCACAGTTCTAGAAGCTGGAAAGTCCAAGATCAAGGCAGCAGCATGTTCAGACGTGTGGTGAGGGCTGCCCTCTGCTTCCTAGATGGTGCCTTGATGCTGTTGTCCTCCAGAGGAGAGGAAATCTGTAAATTCACATAGTGGAAGATACGGAATTATGAAAAAGGAACAAACTCCCTCCATCAAGCTCTTTTATCAGTACCTTGATCCATTCTGCCCTCATGGCTTAAACACCTTTCAAAAGGCCCCACTTCAACACTGTTGCATTGGCAATTAAGTTTCCAACACACACATTTTGGGGAACACATTCAGACCATAGCAACCCTTTTGTTCAGTCTCATGATTTTAAATATCATTTATATTTTATGACTCTCAAATGATTCTAGCCAGAAATTATCTCATGAGCTCTAGACTCTCTCTACATACCCACATTAACAGCAACGAAAGCACATTTAATCAATTTAACCCAAGGAAGTAATACGATGAGCTCAGGTAATACAGACTGAGACTTCATCCAAGATCACAAGGATGGTATGTGCTAGACTCCAAAGAGATGCCCAAGATTTTGTAAATACCCTTCCCTTCCACAAGAATAGAGTTGTTATTTGGTGTGATTTCTCAGGGAGTTGGGGAGATCTCTTATCAAACTCCCAAATTGCTCTCCAATCTGCTCAAGTTTTCTGAAATGTTGTTGTTTCTGGGTCATAGCATATGCACATACTTACTTTGGTTAAGTTCAGCCAAATTATTTCTCCAGAATGGCTGTTCCAGTCTACATTCTTTCCAGCCATGCCTGTGGGCTCTTATCTCCACATCTTTGCCAGGTATTACTAGCCTTTTAGTTTTTGCCTGGTTAATAAATGTAAAGTGCTAATTCTCTGATGTTTTATTTATCATATTACTAATTAATTTGAGCATCTCTCACTTACTTGTTGGCTTGTTTCTTTTTCCATAAATTGGTATCCATTTCTCTTGCCAGTTTTTTATTATGGAGTATATATATATTGCCAATTTAAAGGACTTCTTTGAATATTCTAGTGATTTGTCCCCTGTCAATTTTAGAAATTGCAAACATCTCCTAATTTGTCATTAGTCTATTATCTTTGTCTTTATGTCTGTCATTTAAGAGAAATCATTTTCCTGTAAATGTTTTAAAACTTTTTATTGTAAAATAAAACACATTAAAAATCTCACACGGCAAATGTTTAACTTAGTAAATTATTATAAACTGAACCCTTTAAAGTATTACTCAAGTCAAGAATATAACTTTGCCGGCCATTCAGAAGCCCCTCCGTATGTTCTATCCCAATTATAGCTCCCTCTCCCCTCCAAAAGCAATATTACCCTGACTTTCATATCAATCACTTTCTTGCTTCTTTTATCATCCAAGTGTGCACCCCCAGACACTATGGTTTAGTCTTGCCATTTAAAAAAATGTTTATATGTATTTTGAGTCTCTTTTAATCTACAGGCTCCCTTTCCATCTCTTCTCTTTCTTTAATATTCATCTGTTGAAGAACCCAGGCCATTTGACCTGTACAGAGTCCCATAGTTTGGAATTTGCTGATTGCAAGTCTTGGTGAAGTTCAAGATTCCTCTGTTTAACGTCTTTACTGTAAATGGACAGCTGGTCCAGAGGCTTCATCAGGCTCAGACGCTGTGTTATTTTATCATGTGGCACATTCCTATCTGGGTGCTTCTCTTTGAGAAGGCAGTGACACTTAAAGATTAGATCTATTGATTCATTGCGGATTGGAAAAAGGGGATGTTCTAATTCCATTTTTTTTTTCATTTTTTTTAACTGGAATAATTTTATAAAGAGACACTTTTCTCACTCGCCATTGGTTATTGTTACGAACTGAATTGTATCCCTCCCCAAATTCATTCATTCGTTGAAACCTAGCCCCCAATGTCACTGTACTTGGATATAGGGCCGCTAGGGAGGTAGTTGAGGTTAAATGAGGTCAGAAGGGTAGGGTACTAATCCAATAAGACTGGTACCCTTAGCAAACAAAGAGACTCCAGTGGTCTGTGTCCTTCTCTCCATACCTGCAAAGAGGAAAGGCCATATGAAGACACAATGAGAAGTCAGCCCTCTGTAAGCCAGGAAGGAAGACTCACCAGAAACCACATTTTGTGGCACCTTGATTTTGGACTTCCCAGCCTCCAGAACTGTGAGAAAATAAATTTCTGTTGTTTAAGCCACCCATTCGGCGGTATTTTATTTTGGCAGCCCTAGCAAACTAACACCATTACCCAAGTGGTATAATTAATACATAAAAGAGAAGATAACTGCTTGATTCTCTTTATTTACCAGGTTTCGAGATAATGAATTTGTTCCTGTTATCCTCCAAAGGCTACCATTTAAATTCTTTTGTTATTATTAAATCATGGATTTAAGTATAGTTTGTGGTTTTCAATCCATTGCATTTTTATTCTAATTGACAATCAAGTTGTTCCATCTTTGAACAGTAGGAAGCTCTTTGGCTTGGCTCCTGAGGCCTTTTGACTTATCTCCCTTAGTCCTTGAAGCTTCTTTGTATCTTGAATGACAAAATATTCCAGGCTTGTCCTACCTTCATATCCTGCTTTAAACCTAGAATCAGCCATTTCTTCAAGGAGTCCTGGGTCCTTCTAATGAGAAATTTTATTTCAAGACTATAATATGAATGCTAGAGATGTTCACTGCTCCTGGGCTGCTCATTAAGTCTAGGCTTCTTGAGTGGGCAAAGCTAATATACATATATGTATGTGTGTGTGTGTGTATATATATATATATAACTCATGAATTCATACTGGTTCAATGAGTTCAGTTCTAACTTAGAACTCAGATTGTTCACTTAACTTCTTTTACACTATATTTGAATCTTTTTTCTTACATTCTGAGAATTCTGGTTCTTAATATCACAGGGAGTGATATAATTAGGATGTCAATAGTCTTTAATTATTTAATTTATCCCATGTTGTACACACAACAATACTACCAATCCTAATTACTGACAACAGTTTAAAAAGTTTTGCATATGCTATTCCATTCCCTCCCCATTTTTATATTTACATAATCAAATAATAAAGCCTTTAATATATAGTCTCTTTCTGGTCTTAGTTCCGCAAGTGGGTATATATAAAGGCTCAAAATCAATCTTTATATTGACATCTCTCTACTTATTTGTGTTGTCTGATGCTCATATTGTAGGAGATTCCTCAAGAAAGGCTCATGGAAAAAACATTTCCTGAGTTCTTGTAGGTTGATGACAGTTTAAACCCTTTGTATTGAATGCCAATTTTGATGGATATAAAATCCTTGAGGGCCAGGCATGGTGGCTCACGCCTGTAATCCCAACACTTTGGGAGGCTGAGGTGGGCAGATCACCTGAGGTCAGGACTTCGAGACCAGCCTGGCCAACACGGTGAAGCCCTGTCTCTACTAAAAATTCAAAAATTAGCTGGGCATGGTGGTGGGTGCCTGCAATCCCAGCTACTCAGGAGGTTGAGGCAGGAGAATTGCTTGAACCTGGGAGGCAGAGGTTACAGTGAGCCCAGATCACACCACTGCACTCCAGCCTGGGCGACATAGTGAGACTCCATCTAAAAAAAAAAAATCCTTGAGTTCATATTTTCTTTCCTTAAGGTATCTTCAATATTTTACTCCTTTTCATCTACCATAAAGTGTTTCTGTCAAAAAATTATGATACTCTAATGGTCTTTCTTTATGTTATATACTCTTTTTGCCTAGATGCCCGATTTTAAAATTTGTCTTTAAAAGTTGTTTTGGCCCGGTGCAGTGGCTCACGCCTGTAATCCCAGCACTTTGAGAGGCCAAGGTGGGCGGATCACGAGATCAGAGTTTGAGACAAGCCTGACCAACATGGTGAAACTCCATCTCTACTAAAAATACAAAAATTAGCCAGGCATGGAGGGGCGCACCTGTAATCCCAGCTACTCAGGAGGCTGAGGCAGGAGAATCGCTTGAACCCGGGAGGCGGAGGTTGCAGTGAGCCGAGATCATGCCACTGCACTCCAGCCTAGGTGACAAAGAAAGACTCAGTCTCAAAAAAAAAAAAAGAAAAAAAAAAAGACTAGTTGTTTTACTGGAATATATCTTGGTCAATAGAGGTCAATATTCTCAGATAGTTAGTGTGCTTTTTCAATATGTATTTTCAATATGTAAATTTAAATATTTCTTGTTTCAAGAAAGGTGATTTTAATTACTTATTGTGGTATTTATTTTGTTCGTTTGCTTCAATTTTTCTCTCTTAAGGACTCCTATTATCTCTATGATGGATCTTCTTTGCCTACCAATATTTGTCTTTTCTCGTGAATCTTTCTTATATGTTTCATTTCCTTTTGTTTAAAAACTTTCAACTTTCTTTTTCTTAAGGTACTATTTGTTCTGCATATGATGAACAGCCACTCTCTTCCTTCTAGTTTAGACTTTATTTCTTAAATTACATTTCTTTTATTTCTAAATATAATTGCTAAGTTTTTCCTAATGTCTTTTTAGTTCACTTTAAAATTGTACATTGCAGTTCTAATCTGCCTTACAAACATGTCTTTCTGAAGTGCTTTCATAATCTGTAAGGATGTTATTCCCCATATCTTCTTCTTCTTATTTTGTATAGGATTTGACCTGGATACTTTTGAGGCTCATTTTTATGTTAAATTCATTTACCTGAACATTTAGAAGGAGATAATTTAGAACAAAGCCACAGCTTAGGTGAGCTCTTCTGAATTCCTACAGTCCTCTCTTTTATAGCTTTGTATAATCTTCAAAAATCCTTTGGAAAGGAAAGCTGCTCATGCCTGCCAGGCCTTTCTCCTAGACTGTGACAGTTCCTTGGCTTATGACAACCAATTCCAAAGCTTTACATGGTGTTCTACCTGTGGGCATGTCTGTGTCCCCATTACCCCTTTTAATAAGGCCACCAGGCATATTGCATTAGAGGAACACCCGACTCTGGTATGATCTCTTCCTAGCTTAATTAGTTACATCTGTGATGACTCTATTTACAAATAAGGCCATATTATGAAATCCTCGGGATTAGGACTTCAACATATGAATTTTAGGGGAACATAATTCAATCCATAACATTGGATGTCTCTAGTTCCCCTTTGGGAGATAACCTCTAGGCTCCAAGGTCCTTTGAGGCCCCAGAAGTAACTCAAACCCAAGCCCACATCTCTTTAAGTGTTTCTAGAAAATACATGTTCCCACTGAGAGTGGTGGCATATTTATTATCTGAATTTTCTCTGAGGCAGTATTGAGGGCCCCTAATCAGCCTGTTGCTAAACCAGACGGGGAGAAATCTCCAAATGAAGCCGGTAAGGGAAGGAGAGCAGGCAGGCATGAGCAGCTTTCCTTTAGAAGAAGTCTGAGTCCAACCAGGTCGACCAGCAACTTAGTCTCACTTCACTTAGATATATTTAGACATGGAGTGTATTAGTCCATTCTCACACTGCTATAAAGAAATACCTGAGACTGGGTAATTTATAAAGAAGAGAGGTTTAATTGACTCATGCTTCCACAGACTGTACAGGTGGCATGGCTGGGGTGGCCTCGGGAAACTTTCAATTATGGCGGAAGGTGAAGGGGAAGCTAGCACGTCTTCAAATGGCTGCAGCAGGACACTGAGAGAGAAGGGGAGGGTGCTACATACTTTTAAGCAACCAGGTCTCAGCCAGGCACAGTGGCTCATGCCTGTAATCCCAGCATTTTGGGAGGCCAAGGTGGGCAGATCACTTGAGGTCCCGAGTTTGAAACCAGCCTGGCCAACATGGTGTAACCCCGTCTCTACTAAAAATACAAAAATTAGCTGGGCATGGTGGTGTGCACCTGTAATCTCAGCTACTAGGGAGGCTGAGGTACGAGAATTGCTTGAACCCATAAGGTGGAGGTTGCAGTGAGCCAAGATCGGGGCACTGCACTCCAGCCTGGACAACAGAGTGAGACCCTGTCTCAAAACAACAACAACAAAAAAACCAGATCTCATCAGAACTCACTATCATGAGAATAGCAAGGGGGAAATCCACTCCCATGATTCAATAACCTTCCACCAGGGCCGTCCTCCAACATTGGAAAATACAATTCAACATGAGATTTGAGCAGGGACACAAATCCAAACCATATCACAGAGAATGGCAGCATTAAGTCAAAGCCCTTGGCAAGAGGTCCAGCCAAGGTCACATGGAGAGATGAGGAGAGCTAGGCCCTCCTGGATCCAAATCACGGTCCGGAGTCCTCACATAATATGAATCAATCTCTAAAGATGAATTCTAGAATGGAGCTTTGGCAGGCCCACACAAGGCCGACCCATAACCTTGTGGATGTGTATCTCAAACAATCTCCACTCCCCCAAGTTCAGCACCCACCTGAAGTGCCTATTTGTGCCCTCTGCCAGTGGGATATAATTGTGAGGTTCCATGGCACGGTTCTGGCCAGATCTACCAACATCTATGCTTTGATTAACTTCATATTTTTATTTAAATTTCTTTTTTTTAACTTAAATGTACTTAATTGAATTTATTTAAGTAAATGTATTTAAAATTAAAAAAAAAAAATCAGGGTGCCTAGCAGGCAGAGCAGCAATGAGTGGCAGCCCAGCCCGCTAGTTGAGACAGTGGCTTTGGCTCCTCCAGGCATGATGTGGTGGTGGCCAGTGTGATGCTGCTTGGCTTTGCTGTCGCCATTGTCTCCATATTCCACTTCGAAGAGATGGTTCTGGAATGAAGCCAGGATCAATATCACATTTTACTGGATTCCTATAAAGATACTATTAGTGGAAAGTCCTTTCAGCATCAGTGAGAAAAGATCTATTTTGAAGAGTATCTATTATTTGGACTGGAATGATGGGTCATGAAATCACCCATGCTTTCATGTTGAAGGGATCTTTCCAAGAAGAATGATCACGTCTCAACTACAAGTGGAAAAGCAGGATCTATGTCTTGCAATGCCTAGAAGGTATTTGTAAAAATACTCTTAAAACCAAATAATGTTATTAAATTCTTGCTAGATTCTCTCACCTAGCTGAAAAATTTGAACCCGAGGCATGTTCTCTCTGTTAAAAATAAAAGGCCAAGTGCAGTGGCTCATGCCTGTAATCCCAACACTTGAGGAGGCTGAGGCAGGAGGATTGCTTGAGCCCAGGAGTTTGAGACCAGCCTGGGCAACATAGTGAGACACTCTTTCTATTAAAAAAAAAAAAAAGATTAGCAAGGGTTGGAGAGCTGTTGAGGACATATTAGCATCTAACTGGGACTTTCTCCTTAAAGTTATCAGAAGGACTAGTGAAGAACTGGGAATGAAATAACTCTCCCCATATGTGAGTCAGTGCTTTTCAAGGTCCCATCTGAGGCTTGCCTGGGTCACCTTGGGTACGCTCATGGAACTCCATCCACACTTAAGGAGACACTGACACAGTGGAAAGAGAACTGGACAAAGAACCACTGGTGCCACTACCACCGTGAGGCTTGAGCAAGTCACTTCCCCACAATAGTCAGCTGTTGGTGTGTAAGAACCACCTCAAAGCTCAGTGGCTTGAAACAACATTTACTGTTGTAGGTCATGCATCTGTGCATCAGCCAGAACTCTGTTGACCTTGGCTAGGTCTGATCATGTGATGGTGGGTTGGTTGGGGCTTTCCCAGAGGCTGGGCTCCACCAGCACTCATCAGCTGGGGCAGCTCCGTTCTATGTCTCTCATTTTCCTCCTATGGGAGCCCAGACACATTCTTCTCATGGTGATGGCAAAATCACAAGACAGTAGACGGAAACACAGGAGGCTTCTTAGGGCCTAGGTTTCAAACTAGCACCCTGTCACTTCTTTTGTGGGAGGAAGTGCAAAGGGCATGGATACAGAGAGAAGTGAAGTATCATGACCAGTAACGCAATCTCCCATAAAAATGCAATCTCTTGCATTCGTTTACAAATTTTGCCATTTGTAAAATAATGACACTGGACTATATGAGAGCTTCTCAGCCTTTTGACGTCAAGAGATAACATGGTATTTTTCTTCCGCAGATTCCAAATTTTGAAAGGTGTTTTGTCTTAAGTAAATTGTATTTAACAAAGCATAATTTCTTTTAGGTTTTTTGAAATAGTACTATCTTCTGGGACCTCAATTTTGAAACTATTGGCTTAGATACTCTCTAAGTATCTAATAGTCTATTTTTTTTAAAGATTCTACAAATCTATTAGGTAATTATTCTAAGTTCTATGCTTTTAAAATATTCAAGATTCTAATATTTTTTATTGTATACTTCTAGGATCAACAGCTAGTCAATAAAACTACATTTCCAAAGCATCTGTGTTTATATTTCAAAGATTCTTTGGATTTGTTTCCAAGATTCAGAAACACTGTAAGTAGTAGCACATCTTAAAATGTTAAGTAAAGGATTTTCCTCTGCATTTTTTACTTTCCTCTTCATCCTAAGATATTAACTAAAGGGGCTAGGCATGGTGGCTCACCCCTGTAATCCCAGCACATTGAGAGGCCGAGGGGGGCAGATCACTTGAGGTTAGAAGTTCAAGACCAGCCTGGCCAATATGGTGAAACCCTGTCTCTACTAAAAAACAAAAATTAGCCAGGTGTGGTGGTGCGTGCCTGTGATCCCAGCTACTCAGGAGGCTGAGGCAGGAGAATTGCTTGAATCCAGGAGGTGGAGGTTGGAGTGAGCCAAGACTGCGCCACTGCACTCCAGCATAGGTGACAAGAGTGAGACTGGTGTCTCAAAAAAAAGAAAGATATTAACTAAAGGATTTTCCTCTACAATTTTTTATGTCATTTGTTCCATTTCCTCATACAGGATAAAGTCTATTTTAGTGACTGTTCCATGTGCACTTGAAAAGAATTTGTATTCTGCTAGTGTCGGGTAGACTGTTCTATAAATGCCAGTTACATACATTTGCTTGATGGCATTGTTCAGTTTTTCTATATCCTTGCTGATTTTATGTCCATTGGTATTGATTACTGAGGTTGATGTCTCCAACAATAATGGTGGATTTATCTATTTCTCCTTTCAGTTCTGTCAGTTTTTGCCTCCTGTGTTTTATAGCTCTGTTGTTAAGTTAGGATTTTGCCTCTTAGCAAATAGACTCTTATTGTTATTTAATGTTTCTCTTTATCTTTAGTAATTTTCTTGGTTCTGAAGTTCACTTTGATATTAATATAGTCACTTCAGCTTTCTTGTTGTTAGTATTTGCATGGTATATCATTTTTCATCCTTTCTATTTGAACTTGGATATATCATTACATTCGAAGTGAATTTCTTGTAGATAGCATGTAGTTGGGACATTTTTTGTTTGTTTGTTTTAATCCTTCTTGACCATCTGTCTTTTGATTGGTGCATTTCGACGATTGATGCTTATTGTAGCTATTCATTTGTTTGGATTTAGGTCTACCTAAATAATAAGTCTATTGTTAATACTTATTTTCTGTTTGTGACTTCTATTTTTCATTCCACTATTCTCCCTTTTCTAACTTTTTTTGGGGGTTGTTTGAACACGATTTAGTATTTCATTTTAATTTCTCTATTGTGTTTCTTACTAAATATCTTTGTATAGTTATTTTTAGCGATTGCTCTATTTTGACCTGTCAGAGTCTAGAGTCAATATTTTACCACTCCAAGTAAAATATAGAAAGTTTACCACCCTATATGTCTATTTATCTTTATCCTTTTATATTACATTTGTCTTATATATTATAAATGTTCCCATTCACACTTAAATGTATGTTCATGTTTTTTCTTTTTTAAAAGGGGGTAATCCCAAATAGTATAAGTTTAAGGTCTCATAAAACTAGACCAAGCCTGGGCACAGGGGTTCACACCTATAATCCCAGCACTTTGGGAGGCTGAGGAGAGCAGATCACCTGAGGTCAGAAGTTCGAGAGCAGCCTGGCCAACATGGTGAAACCCCGTCTCTACTAAAAATACAAAAATTAGACGGACATGGGCTAATTTGATGGGCGCCTGTAATCCCAGAGGCTTGGATGTGAGAATCTCTTGAACCTGGGAGGCGAAGGTTGCAGTGAGTCAAGATTGTGCCACTGCACTCCAGCCTGGGCAACAGAGTAAGACCCTGTCTCAAAAACAAAAACAACAAAAAACTAGATCCAGCCCTACTTCCGCCCTCCACTTTCTCCCTGCCATCCCTCCAAAGAGATGTCAGGACTAAAAAAGACAGGTAGAGGCTGACTCCCATTCAGATTCCCCCTTCTTGGCACAGGACAGAAACTGAGGTAATTCCACAGGTGGCGTCTACACAGACAGTTCTGAGCAGCCTCTTGCAGATTTCTGTGGGTCAGAGAATCGAGGAGAGCCAGGCATTTCAAGGTGGCACAGGTGAGGCATCAAAAGCTAATAGTCCTGGCTGAAAATCAGGATGAGGAGGGCACAGGAGCTGCCAGCATGAAGCGATGACATGTAGGACTAGATGTTCTTCCTGTTCTGGGATTTTGTGAGCCTCTCAGGACTTAAACAAGCTGGTGGGGAAGAAAAGTCTTAAACTGACTGTGATTGCCACCTCAATCCCTACTCTTCTCTGTTCCCACCCAAATGAAGCCTTCTTCCCTAGGGCTTCCTTGGCCTCTGGAGTACAAAAACCTGATCTCAGCTCTCTGCAACCTCCGCCTCCCGGGTTCAAGCGATTCTCTCACCTCAGCCTCCCGAGTAGCTGGGATTACAGGTGCATGCCACCACACCTGGCTACTTTTTGTATTTTTAGTGGAGACAGGGTTTCACTATGTTGGCCAGGCTGGTCTCGAACTCCTGACCTCAAGTGATCTGCCTGCCTCAGCCTCCCAAAGTGCTGGGATTACAGGTGTGAGCCACTGTGCCCGACCTCTTTGGCCTCACTTTCTCACATCTTCCAGGTCTCTAAAAGAGTTACCTTCACAGGACACTTTCTCTGACCATTCTGTATAAAACAACACTCCTTCTCCATCACTACCTAGCCCTTCTCCTTGACTGATTTTTCTTCAGAGCTCTTATCACCACCTATGACATTCTATCATACATTTATTTGTTTATTTGGTTTTCATCTGTCGCTTTCATTGGTTTGCAACTTAAACTCCGTATTTTAATATGGGTTGAATTTGCAGAGATTTTTATCTGATGTGTCTATGGTTATATTTCTTCCTTTCTCCAAAAAAAATTCATGGAACATAGAGGCCCTTGATAAACATTTGTTGAATTAATTAATTAATTAATTAAGTCTCTGCTAGCTGCATGAATGGAAGCTTAAAAAATAAATGGTTTGTATAGGAAAAATAAAGAAAGATATTCACTGGAATTTGTACCTGGCTCATCTATATTTGGTGTTAAGATAGATTGATTTTTAAGTCTTGCTGTTTATAAGATCTGTCCTGGACTTGTTTCTAAGTTCCTATAATACCATGACACGTGTTAAGGATCCTAGAATTCCTGGCCTCAGTGGCTCTGGACAACTCACCCTAAAATATAAAGCCAGATCTTAATGACTCCAAGATGTACAGGATAAGCCAACGGCACCCGGCTTGATTTCACACAGCAGTTCCAGCTTGGGAGGATAAGTGAAAAGATTATCACAAGGAAATTGTTTACAGGGACAAGCAAGCTCCAGACATGGCCATCACCACCTCAGGGCCCTGGCTGGTTTTTGTTTCACATAAGCAGTTTTCTAAGCAAAGAGAAGGATAGAACCTGGCATGGTTTTGTAGGTTTATGTAGCTCCAGGGATGAAAGGGGGGCACCCACAGAGGTCAGGGATGTCTAAGTCATCAAGGAGAGGAAAGGCTCTGAGAACTTGGGCATCCCAAGAGGTGACAGGATGGTTCTGGCTTAGGGCCAACATAGCCACATGCCTACAGGGACCAGGCAAGTAGCCTGACCCCTGTGACTTAAACAAGCAGAGGTGGCCAGGTGGGGGCCAAAGCAGACAGGCCATCTATATCCCTTCTCAAGGGGGTAACTCTGACTAATTTTTGCTAAACAAGGATGAAAACCCAGTATAGCCAGATTTATTTTATTTTTCATTCAAAGTCAGAAATTCAGGTTTGCATGTGAAAGCTCCCAACTTTAAATGTTGGCATGAAAATCAGATTTTAGAAGCACTATTTTCCAGTTAATATTTCCATGTAACAAATCACCCCAGATTTAGTGACATCAAGCAACCATTTTATGATGTCCATGGATTCTTCGTGTCAAGTTTGGACAGGGCAAGTGGGGACGGCTTCACTCAGCTCCATGGTGTGTGGGGCTTCAGCTGGGAAGATTCAAATAGCTGGAGCTAGAATCATCGAGAGGCTTCTCTACTCAGATATCTGCTCTCTGGGCTGGGATGACTCAAAGGCTGGACTCGGCTGGGACTGTCCACTGGGGCACCTACACATGGCTTCTCCATGTGGTCTGAGCTTCCCACAGCATGGTGGCTGTGTTCTGAGACGAAGTGTCCTGAGCGTGGGAGCTGCAGATGAAAGCTGCATGGCCTTTTATGGCCTGGCTTCAGTTCCATAGTGTCACTTCTACCATACTCTACTGGTCAAGCAGCCACATACCCACCCAGATCCAAGGGAAGGGGAGCACAGACTTCACCTCTTGATGGAAGAGCATCAATGAATTTGCAGCCATTTATAAAAGCACCACACACTGTGTGGGCCACACCAAATGGGTCTGCAGGCTGGATTTGGCCAGAACATTGCTGGCAGCATCTCTGAAGGGTGGAAGTAGACTATGGCCCAGCTCACATAGTGAAGTGAGGTAGCAACATCCCCAGAATATGTATATGGGTATGGGGCCAAGACAGAGGGTGCCTGCCTGGGTGGGCTGCCACTGGAGCAAACGGCCATGTGGGACTGCTGGTCCAGACACCAGCATTCTGCCTGCTCACAGCCTTCCTCTCCCCTGACCACAGACATGGGCCCATCCCAAGCTACAGCCTGACCCCAAAACACATCTTCGCCATGGCTGAGTCATCCTCTTCCTCAGGGACCCAAAGCCCCAACCATGGTCCCTTCTTCTTCCTCTCTAGGAGGACATTTTTTTAAGTCCTTGCACCTAAAGGGCTGATCTCACTCTTTTTCTAGGTGCCATAGACTCAATGTGTCCATCCAAAATTCATATGTTGAAACCTAATCTCCAATGTGATGGTGTGTGGAAATGAGCCCTTTGGGAGATAAAGCCCTTATAAATGGGGTTAGTGCCCTTATGAAAGAGGTCCCAGGGAGATCTCTTGTCCCTTCTGCCATGTGAGGACACAGTAAGAAGACTATGAACAAGGAAGAAGGCCCTCACCAGACACCAAATCTGCCAGTGCCTTAATCTTGGGCTTCCAACCTCTAGAACTATGAGAAATAAATTTCTATTATTTATTTATAAGATAGCCAGTCTATGGTAGTTTGTTCAAGCAACATGAACAGACTAAGACACCAGGCAATCTGTCATAAGTGCCTCTGATGGGCCCAAGTGTTCCCAAGTTGGAAATACCTTCCTTACGCATCACTGTCTCAGAGGTGATCCCTAGAAGAGTGCACAGGAAAGAATATGCAAGGGAAACAAGGATAGCCAATGCACTTTTATGTAATACACACAATGACCCTGTGAAGCAATTATTCCAGTTTAAGAGATGAAAAAACTGAGTTTCACGGAAAATCCAAAACTTGCCAGGGACACCCAGGAAAATGGGTGGTTTCATACTAGGTGGAACTGGGGAATTGGCTTCAAAGTGCAAGTGAGCAGGACAAGAGAAGACCAGCTTGCTTAGACTGGAGGAGGTAGGTTAGGCAGAAGTGAGGTAGGCCAGGTGGGACCAAACGCTAAAGAGCCCTGCAAGTGCCACAAAGTGTCATGAACTTAATGAGTCAGGCAGTAGGGAACCATTCAAGGTTCTCGAGCTGAGGGATAACTTCACTAATTATGGCCAATGATGATGCAAGCAATTTCTTACAGAGTGCTTTATTTTGCAGATCTCCTTTTCCATGCGTTTCCTCATTTGTTTCCCACCTGTGTGGTTAGGCTCCCCATTTGCCATATGAGCAAAGTAAGAGTCCCAGAAGTTACAATATGACAAAATTACTACTAGCAAAGCCAACACAGGATGCAAGCCTCCTCCCTCCACACCCCAGTGAAGGGCAGTGGGGACTGCACGATACAGTGGGCATCTGCCATTCATTCTGGCCACCTAGCATCATTCTCCTTCAGCCCTTCGTTCCCTTTAGGGAACTCTCCCCCTACCTCTCCAAATGATTTTAATGGGGCTGTCAATCATGTGGTCCTATGCAAGAGTGAGCACCAGGCCAGGCTGACCAATTAGAGTCCTTCTCAGGGATTGACATGGATGCTCGGGGAAAGACAGTCTCAGGTTTTCTCTAGGGTTGCCAATGGCAATGAACCTCTGACAACTATCCTTTTGTCATATGGGGAATATCTGCTTGAGAATGACGTGAACAAACAAGACACCCAAGCTGAGAGATAAAGGTAGGAAGAGTGCACCTAGGACACCAATAAGATCCTACAGATTCAGCCATGTCTGGGTTTCTCAGTTTTGAAAAACACTTTGATTGGTTTTGTCACACGCACCTGAATCAGCCCTTGGACCTAAGCTTTATTTAGAAGTAAAATGGACTTGGGCTCTCTGTAAACCACAATTTCTTCATTTATCAAATAATAATAATCGGCTGGGCATGGTGGCTCACTCCTGTAATCCCAGCACTTTGGGAGCCCTAGGTGGGCAGATCATTTGAGGTCAGGATTTCAAGACCAGCTTAGGCAACATGGTGAAACCCCATCTCTACTAAAAATACAAAACTTAGCTGGGCATGGTGGTGCGTGCCTGTAGTCCCAGCTACTCAGGAGGCTGAGGCACAAGAATCACTTGAACCCAGGAGGCAGAGGCTGCAGTGAGCCGAGATCACGCCACTGCACTCTGGCCTGGGTGACAGAGTGAGACCCTGTCTCAAAAAAAAAAAAAAGAAAAAAATGAGAGAATAATCAAAATAGCAACTTAGCAACTTAGAGAGTTTCTGGAGAATTAAATATACTTCATAAACTGTGAGGTACCAAGAAAAGAAAAGAAAACTGTATTGAGGGACATGAAGGCCTAAGTAAATGGTGAAATATGGCAAATTCATGGATGAGATGTCTCAATATTATAAATATGATCATTTTCTTCGCTATTTAATTTACAATATAATCCAATTTTAGACAAAACTAAATTAATGAACAATGCAAATTAGGCAGTATTTTAAAACAGGGTGGCTATTTTCAAAATGACAGTGTTAATATTTTTAAGTTGAGGTGCCATTATGCTGAGATAGCTCCAGTGCTTTGGGTTCCTATGTAAGCAAATCAAAGCCTAATGTAAACCGTAAAATGATCCTGGAGACTTAGCTAATTTGAAACCGCCAACTAACCTCTAGGGACTTTCCACCAGATCGTGCCCAAATAAGGCAAACACCTACTTGTAGCCAGTCAAGCAATGTCTTTGCTTTGCTTCCACATTCACCCTATAAAAGCCTGCAGCTCAACTGCTAAAGTGGAGCTCTCTGAACCTCTTCTAGCTCTGAGTACTGCCCAATTCATGAATCACTTTTTTGCCCAAATAAACTCTGCTAAATTTAATTTGTCTAAAGTTTTTCTTTTAACAACAGAATGGACCGTATTTTTAGTTCCCAAAGCTCTCTCTTGCTCCCTATAAGAGAATTATACTTCCTGTGCCATTGACATCAGGCCTGGACATGTGACTTACTTTGGCCAATGATATATGACCTGAGTGAGGTAATGCCACTTCTAAGCAGAAGCCTTAAGAGCCACCACGTTTCCACTGTGGCTTTTCTCTGCCTTCCACCAGAATAGTGTATTCCAAATAGGGTTGTTTTATCAGCTGGGTCCCAGGAAGAAGAGGATTTGGCCAGAGCTGCAGCCAGTCCTGAGTGTAAGGTGAATAAGAAATAAATATTTGTTGTTGTAAGCCAGGGAGATTTGACGGTTATTAGTTATGCCAGCATAACTTAGGGAAACTGACTAACACAGAAGTATAACCTAATGAATTGACAAAATGCTGCCATTTTTATGCTTCATTAAAACATAAATGAAAACTTTTTGTAAAATAGTACCTAGATGCTTTACATTGGTTTCTCATTGTTCTGCTAAACATGAGCATTCCCAAAAATGTTTACAATAATTTATATTTTTAAAAAAGCATTTTGTGAGCAAAACAAGCTTGGGGAAATGCTGCAGGTCACTGTCTTTCTCATGAGATTCATCCCTCATATTAGCATATTAAAGTCTCTGCAAAGTCCTACAGTAAAGAAACCTTTACTAACTCAGTATTTCTTGAAGTTATTTGGTGATGAACCTCAGCCCACCAATTAACATGTCATGAGAGATGAGGATACAGGTTTTTCTCAAAATGAGTATTTTTCTCTCAGCTATCATGGATTTAGCACTAGGTGCATGTATTATTTAAATCCTATAATGACCCCTCTGAGAGAGGCATCATCAGTTCCCATTTTATATCTGAGAGAAAATAAAGGCTAGGAGAGAGAAATTGACTTGCTCAGAAAAACCACAGCAAAAATATAAATGAATGAATAAATGAATGATGGAGCCAGGACTTGAATCACAAGTCTGGCAATAAAGACCAAGCTCTTAACCTACCTTCCTCTTGCCTCCAAAATCAACTCCTGGATTCTGGAGCTAATGATGAAAGCCCTTCATCAGTTGAAACCACAGTACCTACCCAATCCAATCCTCTCCATTTTACTCCACACCACACCTCCTCATTTTCCACTTACCATCTTTTTGGCCATTTGTTTCTCACTAAGGGCATTCCTTCCTGCCACCATCCTAACACATCTTTTCCATCCTTAAGCTTTAAGTCTTAACTTATGATCCCTCGTCCAAGAAGCCTCCCTTGATTACTTTTCCCCCAGCAAACTTTCTCTGATATTACGTGTATAGATAGTGGAGCAGAACATTTCCCTGAGATGCAAATTTTCAGATACCCTCTCAGACCTACTAAATCAGAAACTCTGGAGATAGGAATCAGAAATCTGGACTTTAACAAGCCCCCCACGTAAGACAATGATGTACTTCAAGTTTAAGAACCATGTTGGTCTAAGCCAACCATGTTGGTTCCTTTCCCTGACTAGCAATTAGCTTAGTAAGAGACATTGGACCAAGTTCTGGACAGAGATGTGAGAGGAATAGGCAAGAAAGGGGCATATGGGGGAATTTCCTCACTCTAATAAGAGACATACTGAAAAAGGCTATACCCATTAAGGTGTTTTTTATTTCAAGCAGTAAAAAATCTAGCTAACATAGGCTTAAATAAATAGAAATTTTATCCTTCTCATTTTCAAAAAATCTAGAGGTTGACAGTGACTGTGATGCTAGTCATCACAGGCTCAGCAATGTCTGTGATTTTCTTGGCCTCTCCTTCTGAATACAGGATGGCTGCCACAGTTCAGGCATCACATCATATTCCAGGCAGGAGGAGGAGGTAGGGAAGGCTGCTGCAAGCAATGTCTGTTTCTCTTATCAGGAAAGTAGAGGCTTCCACTCATTTCTCATTGGCTGGAATTGGCCATGTGGCCACTTCTGGCAGTAAAGTGGATATTCAACTTTTCCAGCCTCCTTAATGAAGACAGGCAAGGAAGGGTTAGGGCTGATATGGGGCAAGCATATCCAAAGCGTCTTCCTCACTGAGATCAGTTCTAGCTTCTCGTAGCTAAAAAGCTTCCTGACAGGAAGTGTTACCGGTTTCTTTCTCAGTAGTTGGGGGGAATTAATAAAATAGTGTATGATTTAGGCCCAGGGTGGTCTCAAAAACGAGATAAGGATTCACCACGATTGGTATGAACTTCTCCAGCATGACTCTCCACTTCTCTTATCTGTCTTTATGTTTTCTACAGAATCATTCATCTGAGAATATCAGGGACATGGGCCCTTAGAATTCACCAACAGAGTGAGCAAGGGAGAATGGTTCTGGTTCTGAAGTGAGAGAGACCCAGGGTTAACTTTTGGTCTGTCACTTCTACCTCTCTGAGCCTCAATTTCCTCTTCTGTAAAATGGGGTTAATGAAAGCCCGCATCTCCCCCAGGGCAGATATGAGGATGAAATAAAGTTCACCATATAAAGCAATGAGCTCAGTGCCTAGTACTAAGATAGGTGCTCAGTGAACCGGTACCTATTACTGTCATTTCTCTCACTATTTTAGCACAAACCTCTTTTTGTGCAGCCGAGGAGGTTGCTGTTATGATGTCAGGCCACTGAAAATTAGTAGGCAGGTTTCTTATTACGCCTCCTTAGGGGTTGCTTTAACAAAAGCAAAACTAAATTCTCATTAGCACATCACTCATTTCCATGTACATGAGCATCATCATAGGCATGAAAATGGCACCCTTGAGAGGAGGGGGAAGAAGATGCCTCCCCCTTCAGCCCCTTTATCAGAAGATCAAGCCCAGTGTGGGGAGGGGAGGTCAGTGGTCGTTCCTCCTATTCCAGGACAGAGGTGGCCAGCATTCCTAGCTGCCCTCTGCACTTCCTGACATTTGTGGTTTAATCAAGCCCCATTAATCCCTCCCTGTTTCAAAGCTCAGCACAGGAACCACAAACTCCCACAGCCTCTGACAGGAATCATGTGGCTAAAGCCAAGGGGAACTCTTTGAAAGGTAATTAGCATCTTTGAATTCAGGGCCCTTTGATTTTGCTTCCTGGCTTTAAACGATCACAGAACATTTTGCAGAAAAGGGGGAAAACATAAAGGCAGCAGCTACAGCCCCTTACACTGGGCCTTCTGCAGCCTTTCAAGTTGTGATGTGGCCTGAGAGAGGAAACTTGCAAATATGATTAAGTGTGGGTGAGTTGTTGAGTTGTACCAGGGGCCATGCATTCATTCATTCATTCATTCATTCACTCAGTCTCACAAGGCACCATGCTAAACACTGGATGTACAGTTTTCATTGATCATTCATTCAATCAATCATTCATTTACTAATATCCCTGGATCAAACACTGAGCTAAGCTCCAGGGCTATAAGTTTATTGTTTAATGGGAGAGGCAGACAAGAATTAAATAAATAAAAACAATTGCTGTTAAGAATAAAGTACCAAGAACTAAATAAACTGAGTATTCATCCAGCGAGGAGAAAGAGATCATCTTTACAATAGGTACTTAGGGAAGGCCACTCTGAGGAGGGAACAGTGCCTGTAGGCACCATGATACATAGAAGCCAGTTATTTAATACAGGGCATAAGGGGATCATATGTCAATAGAGGTTTGTACTGTTGCCATGTTTGGGAGGATTAAGGAAAGCCGCAGAGAGCAGATGTAGGAGTAAGTGTAAGCCAGTTAATGCTGTTGTTACAACCCTGAAGTCTGAAACCACAGAGGTAGATATTTTGCTCAACACACGTGTCGTGGTTTGGCTGTGGCTCTGCTCACACCATCATCGTCATCCTTACTCCAGGGCCCAGTTGCTGAGGCCTAAAGAAGAGAGAATTCTCAAGGGTTTCAAACCTGCTGTTAAATGCTCCAGCCTGGAAGAGACATGTGTTACTTGTACCCACAACTCATTGACCAGCTCTTATCACATAACCTCAATCCAACTACAGGGGGGCCAATAAGCAGTATCCTACACTGTGTCTGGGAGATACAGACATGTTTGGTGAAGAGCCACCTCACTGTGGACTGAGCTTTGCAGCAGAGAAGCAGGACATGTGAATTGCAGACAGAGGAAATAGAATGTGCACAGACACAGAGGGATAAAATAGTTTGGAGTGTTCGGGTAGCTAGAGTACTGGCAGGGCTTAAAATGGAGCTGAAAAGGTAGCCATAAAACCCCCTGAGATGGGTACTATTATGATTTTCATTTCTGAGATGATAAAATTGAGGACACAACTAGTGAATGGTTGAACTGATACTTGAACTGACACAGTCTGATCCTAGCATCTGAACTTTTAATCCTCATGCCATATTGCCTTTAAGGTATGGAGGGACCAGAATACAGAAGATCTTTAATGCCAGGAAGGAGATCGGCCTCAACAGGCTAAGCAGTAATATTTTTACAAGTCTTGGTTGTGGTTGTTTAAAATACACACATTTTTTATGCATATTAAATATACAGATACATTCTTCTTTCCTAATAAGAAATGCGGTCCCCCTTGATTATTTTTAAAATGGGAGATTCTCTTAGTGTATCTTTTCTTTGCCGTCTTTTGATATAGAAGAGCTTTCAGGGAAGTATTTCTTTACAGTAAGAAACAACCCAAGGATAATTGTTAATAATCACTGAAATTCATTTTCTCCTTTAAGGATACAGTCAGGAATGGTGGGATCTGTGGTAAACTAGAAAGAATTATGTCTCTTGCAAAGAGGGAAGTTGTTGTTCACTTCCATCCTATTGTCACATGTGGAAATGTGGAATAATTTAAATATTTTAGATATTTTGTGAAATCTCACAATTTTAAAATATCAACTTAAAGCATGGTACAAGCCTAACAAAACACATCTGTGAGCCAAAATGCTCATGGAAGCATTGATTTTTGTCTTCCATATGGTGGCCAGCCTCTAAGATGGCCCCAAATTATCCCACATCCTGGTATTTATTCCTTTGTGTCATCTTTTCTACATTGAATTACAACTGGCCTGAGTGATCAGTAGAATATGGCAGAAGTGACAGCGTGTGACTTCTGAATCTAGCTCCTAAGGGCACTGAGCTTCCACCTTGTTCTCTTAGACTGCTCACTCTGAGGACAGCAGTCACCATGCCATGAGGACACTTAAGCTGTCTTGTGTTGAGGCCCATGTAAAAAGGAACACAGGCCCCACCCAGCCTATAGCCAGTATCAACTGTCCAGCTATGTAAGTAAGTCTCCTTGGATGTGGATCTTTCAGCCCCAGTCAAACCTTCAGATGAGCATAGCCCCAGCCAATACCTAACTGCAACCTCATGAAAGGTCCTGAGCCAGAACCACCTAGTCAAGCTGCTCCCAAATTCTTGACTCATAGAAACCATGACAGATTGGTAAATGACTGTTGTTGTGTACAGCCAGTGGTTAATGAACTATCTCTAAAGGGCCTAAAAGGAAGTATTTTTGTCTCTGTCACGATAATTCAACTCTGCAAAAGCAGCTATAGATGATACATAAATGAATAGGTGTGGCCGTGTTCCAACAAAACTTTATTTACAAAAACAAGCAGCAGGCCAGATTTGGCCTGAGGATTTTAGTTTGTCAACTTTGAGTTTAAGCCACTATGGTTTGCAATTTGTCATGTGGTCATATATAACTAATCCACTCCCTGAATTCGTGAAGTGGCCTGAATAGAACATGTTTCAGACAAAGCACATTGTTAGTAATTTAGAGGCCAAATTAGAAGAAGCTAGTGGAAGGGTGAGCCTGGAAGGGCAACGGTTCTAGGAAGAGATGATGGGCCCAGGCTTGGGTGGGGAGATGTATGAATCTAGGTGAGGCATAACTGTCTTCTGTGCTCCCTGCCAATCAACATGACAAGGAGGATGTTAAAACCATAATGGAGACCGTTGCCTTTAATTCTCCCTTCAGTGTCTGGTGTTGCCCTTGAACAGTCCTGGTAACGAGCAAATGGAGCAGACAGGGAGGAAGGCTTTCCCCCACAATGCTGCAGAAAACTCACAGAGCCAGCACAATGTGTAAGCTCCTCAGCTGGTAACAAGATGCTTGACACCAGCTGAGCCATGAGCCCAGAATAAAGAAATGCCCTGTAGAAGATTCCAGGAACACTGGCTGTTGCCCAGTCACTCCACCCCTTCCATGCACACTCTGCCACCTGTTCCTCTAGCCCCTCTGAGGACCCCATTCCCACCCCTGTGAGTCAAGGGAGCAGTGAGGCCAGTGCACATGGACAGACCAGAGCCAGAAACGTCTGCAATACGATGGGTAGGGAAGCAAGGGTGGGGGAAGAAATAGAGATAGAAGATGGAGAAATAAAAGGGAGGAGAAGAAGGAGGAAAGGTGAGGAAGAGAGAACCAATAGTCCAGAAGAGGCTGGATGCAAGGATTGGAAAAATGAATCGACTGGGTTCAATTCAAACCCAGTGAATAGAACCCCAGGCAAAATCTGGTCTCTGTCTTGATCCATCAGTGTGGACCTCATTCTCCAGCAGTCTAGGTGACTACAGCTTCTGGATTCCAAATCCACACAAAGCAATGTCAATCTTCCAGTAGTTTTGGGATTCACTCTAATTGGCTCTCAGTTCATGTGCCTTATACCTGAACCAATCACTGCAGTTCAGGAAATACCTAATTCTGATGGGCTTTCATGTCACAGGCCCACATACCTGAACCAATCACCATGGTTCAGGGAATACCTAACTCTGATTGGCTTGAGATCAACACTCCACCTTCGCCCTCCCAGGCTGAAGGAAGGAGAGGACTGAATCCCAAAAAGAAAACCATGACTTTTGCCAGAAGAAAAAGGAATGGATGTAAGATGAATCCTTTTGAGTTCTACTTCCTGCTAGAACTTCTGGGAGAATGATTTGTCAAGCATCTTCCAGTCTGGTGCAACCATTATTAGACACCCACTGTGAGAGCTGGAATGGCTGGTTGACAATTTCCGTTTTGATTTCTTCCTCTGATCAGGCCCAGAGAGGGAAGGATGTGCCTGCATAGGCACAATTCTAGGCCTTGGGCACCAAGTCCAACACTCTCTGGCAACGAGGTAGGCCACGAGTCAGACTCCAAAAGGAGTCGATGGGTGGGTAGGGTTTGTGTGTGTGGCAAGCAGGGAGGACAGAGCTTCTCTCCAAGGGAGCTCTGCTTCTTTGGCTCTCTCCTCCTTTGAGGACCTAAGAGTCTGGTGAGGGAATGAGACAGATACATGAGTGTGGTCATGGCATTATAGAGGGAAGCATTATATAGGGGGTGGGGGTCCAAACACAGGCCCTTGCTCAGCTTGAGGAGGTCAAGGAGGCTGCCTGGGAGCAGTGACGTTTGAGCTGAATTTTAAAAGATGAGCACCAGTTAGCTGGAAAGAGGGAAAATGCCTTCCCACAGATGAGAACAGGTACAAAAGCTCATGATGTGGTTGTAGAACAGTAAATGACACCGTGCACCTGGATGCACCAGTGAGGAGTGGGTGATAGACCTGAGGATGTCGGCAGGCCCTGGTGACACAGTTTTCTTTTTTTTTTTTTTTGAGACAGAGTCTTGGTCTGTTGCCCAGGCTAGAGTGCAGTGGTGTGATCTCAGCTCACTGCAAACTCCGCCTCCCGGGTTCAAGCGATTCTCCTGCTTCGGCCTCCCAAGTAGCTGGGAATACAGGTGCCTGCCACCATGCCCAGCTAATTTTTTAGTAGAGATGGTGTTTCACCATCTTGGCCAGGCTGGTCTCGAACTCCTGACCTCATGATCCACCTGCCTCGGCCTCCCAAAGTGCTGGGATTACAGGCATAAGCCACCGTGCCCGGCCCACAGTTTTAAGTTCTACAGCTGAAGTTGAGTGAAGGCTTGATATTCTTCTCCACCTCTGTGGAAACTGGGAAGGGCAGGGGAAGATTTTACGATGGGGAGTGACCACTTGTAAATGTGCCAATGGCTTTGATCTTGGAGGGCTGAAGGGTGATACAGATGTGTGAATCAGGATTCCTGGTTGTAGGGAGCAGAAGCCAGCCAACTCCAACCACCTTGGCCCAAGTGCAGTTTGGGAAGGGATCCTGGGGCAACACATGTTATCAATCCAAATTGGCTGTATGAAGCAGCCATGGGGAGGTGACAATATAACTTGGTGTTTTCTTTCTGGAAGGCATTTGGGTAAAATGAGCTAGATTCCACTTTTAGGAATTCATCCAAAGAAATTCATCCAAAGAAAAAGTAAAGATGAGAGCAAAGATTTAGTTTCATACATGTTCATTGCATCACTGTGTATACAGGAAATAATAGGAAACAATCTGAATGTCCCACAGTAGAAGCCCAGCCTGTGTAATGAGTCTGATGGTGGATGGCCCTTCAGTCATTCCATCTGCTGCTGTGGTAAGGATTGGTAATTCCCAGGCATTTTTGTCCATCGGCTAAGGCTGCTCTATGAAAATGTTTTTGCTAGTCTATAGTAAAATCAGAAAAACAGAGACCACACCAAAATGTTCACAAAACTTTTTTTTTTCTGTAACATTATCTCTGCTCAACTTCTTTGGCTTGGTGATGATAATGGATGTTGACTCATTTCATCTTTCCAAGACGCAAATAACAAAAAATACAATTAACAATGGCACAAACAAATAGGGGCTTACTTTTTAACATGAAAAGAAGTCTGGAGATAGATGCCCCTGGGGAAATATCAGTGCTCACCAACACTAGGCAGATAGGGGTCTCTGTGATTCTCTGGCCCTTTCTTTCATGATCCCACCATGGCTGTCACTGTTCTTGGCATAGTGTTCATGTTCAAGGTAGGAAGAGGGAGGGTGAAATGGAACCAATGATTCTTTCCCTTCCTCATGTATCTCATTGGCTAAACTGGGTCACAAGGACACCCTTAGCTGCAAGGAAGTCTAGGAAATCAAGAATCTGGCAGAGGGAATGAGATTACCGTGTCAGGTTTACTAATGGTGATTAATTGCCCAGGACAGGGTACCTGAGCCCCTCAAACAAAACTAAGAAAGAAAGGGATAGAGGAGTAGGAAATGGTTACTGAGTGAGCAGCTAGGCATGCCTGCCATAACTAATGGGAAGAAAGTTGGCAACCCTAGGTCAGCCCCCCAACAACCCTAATTTTTGGAAGGTGGAATTTACTGCTCCATGAAATGATGGACACTAGGAAGCACTGGAATAGAAGACTGATTTTCAAACCAGATTCTTGTGTTGCCCAGAGTTATTGAGGGGCTGCTGTTAGGGCAGGAAGGTGGAGGAAGGGGTGGAGATACTGGTCCCCAATCTTCCTGCCACTTTTATTGGAGTATTATATTGAGTATATGCATAAAATTATACTTGCTGTACAGTAGTGCCCCCTTATCCTCAAGGGATAATATCTTTTTTTTTTTTTTTTTTTTTTTTTTTTGGAGATGGAGTCTCACTGTGTCACCAGGCTGGAGTGCAGTGGCGTGATCTCGGCTCACTGCAACCTCCACCTCCTGGGTTCGAGCGATTCTCCTGCCTCAGCCTCCCGAGTAGCTGGGACTATGGGTGCTCGCCACCACGCCCAGTTAACTTTTGTATTTTTAGTAGAGATGGGGTTTCACCATGTTGCCCAGAATGGTCTTGATCTCTTGACCTCATGATCCACCTGCCTTAGCCTCCCAAAGTGCTGGGATTACAGGCATAAGCCACTGTGCCTGGCTCAAGGGATAATTTCTAAGACCCCCTGTGGATGCCGGACACTACCGCTAGCACCAAACAACCTGATTACCATCAATCAGAACTCATTTCTGTTCCTATCTTCCACCCACAATTGTAATGCCTTTTCCATTTTAACCAAGCACTTATTATATACTATGGCCATAACTTTTGCAGTTTGAGGTATGACAGCAAAATTAGCATACATTTCATTTTCCTTCTTCACATTTTCATAGATGGAAGAGTCTTTCTTACCACAGATCATAGCAACCTCGGCATATGACTTTTTTCTTTCCCTATTAAGTCAAGAACTTTTATCTTGACTTTTCACTTAAAGGAAGCACTTTACAGCTTCTCTTTGGCATATCCAAATTCCCAACATCACTACTCTTGCACTTTGGGGCTGTTGCTAAGTAAAATAAGGGTGACTTGAACACAAGCACTGCAACACCAGGACATTCGATCTGAGACCTGAGCCAACTACGATGTAACTAACAGTCGGGGACTGTGTACAGCATGGGTATACTGGACAAGAGGATAATTTCATCACACTACTGAGAATGGCATGCAGTTTAAAACTTATGAATTGTTTATTTCTGAAATTTTCCATTTAATATTTTTGGACCGTGGTTGACCTTAGGTAACAGAAACCAAGGATAAGTGGGGGGTATTATATACATATATGTATATATGTATGTTTATCTGTATATGTGTGTGTATATGCATATATGTGTATCTTTACATATATACATACATACATAAAGATATAGAAGGATACATAGCAGGGATTTCAAACTGGTGGCCCCTGAAGTGGAAATCAATATTTAAAATCTCTCTGACTTTTGAATTCGTTTACACCTGACTTTGTATTCTCCATTACTTCACAGATTCAGACATTCCTGATTTTTTAATGTCAAAGTTCACATATTTGTATTAATATTTATATAAATTAACTCACCCTATGCACACATTTATATTAATTTTACTACCACCCAATTCACATTTATATCAACTGCCTGGCCCCATAAGCATTTAGTTCGTGACTCTGAATATGCCCAGGCATTAACTATGGTTCTCTCTAGGTCATGAGTCGTTTTTAATTTTTTCTTTTTCCTGGTCTGCCCTGTCTAATTTTGCTAAAATAAACAAACATGGCTTTTGTAATAATGGAGAAAGACGCCATTTTAATTAAAAAGTAATAACAATGTGGCCTGTGGCCCTCTGGGCTGTTTGGGCCACGCTCCACTGGCCCCCACTGAGCCTGGCTTTTCTGGGCTGCTGCTCTTCCTGCCTCCCCAGCCTGCCTCAAATGTGTCGCCAAGTGAGCGGCTGGGGTCCCTTCCTTTCCCTGTGACTGGGGTCCAGTGAGAGCTGGCGGTTGGATACTGTCTGAAGAATGGGCCCTTCCTGGAAGCGTTTGGAAACCCAGTTGGGGTCTGAGGTCCTTTCAAACGCTGAACTCAAGCGTGGGGACTCAGTCCCTGGAAATGCCAACTGCTTTACTCTGACTGGGACTGTTGATAGATATATTGCTTCATGCTAATGTGGTATTATCACAACACAGTTCCACTCTCAGCTACTGCAAGTCACTAAGACAACATCTGGTTTGAATCTTTTCTCATTATGGCCTAAAAAAATAAAAGCTGAAATCCAAACCACTCCTTTAACACTCTGTCTCTCTTTTTTCTTCCTCTCCCTTTTCTCTTTCTTTTGCACTCCAGAAACTTCAAATGAGGGGGAGGAGTTTAGAAATTGTCCATCTTATGTGCCCTTCTCCCCATTTTACAGATGGGGACGCTGAGGCCCAGGGAGGAGCAGTGACCTGCTATATCACAAACCTTGTTAAGGTAAGCAGCTCAAGTCTCCCAGGTTTCTTATCTGCAAGCCAGGATGGCACTGACCTCTCCCCACATCACCTTTAAGGGACCCCCTCAAGGGGCAGACAGGATGGGGCATGGTGATCAGTAAGGAGCCTAGGCAAGCATTAGCTGTTGCCACCGTCCAAGGGCTTCTAGTTAATTGGTAGCAGAATTAGGTCTTTCTAGAATCTGAGTCCTCTGATTTCCAATGGTAATGTACTCTACAATTTACTCGGGAGGAAGGACTAAGATCATAACACTAATATCTTCTAACGTGCTGGATGCTCCACTAAGTGTTTTATGAATAGTGCAACATCACAGAGGAGAGCAACGTGCTGGAGCCCAGCTACGACCTTGAGCAAGCACATCACTCTTGAAACCTCTTTCCACTTGTGAAAAATGGAAACAGTAATGGGGTAACGAGATTGTTAAGAGGATGAAATGAGAGCTTGTGTGTATAGGGCTAGGTTTTACCATGATGCATACATGTGCACAAATGATGCAGGCTTTACTTTCTCTAATGGATCTGTGTGTGTGTGTGTGTGTTTGTGTGTGTGTGTGTGTAAGAAGCTCCTGGGGATCTTGCTTCTCCTCTCTCTACTTCTTCTCTACTTCCTTCTCTCTACTTCTCTTTCCCTGACTTCTCTCTCTTCCCTGATCTTCCTTCCTAGACACACAGGACATCCCTAACAACTTATCCTAGATTTTTTCTACCTATGAAAAAATAGGTAGAAAAGTGGATCTTGCTTATAGTCAGGATCCATCTTGCTGCCCAGCAGGCCAGGCTTTTCATGTATGGATGGGAACCTAAAGAGTTGGAAAGATTAGCTTCTCTCTAAAAAAAAAAAAAAAAAAAAAAAAAAACACTGGCTTTCAAGACTATTTCTTTGTGAGGAACCCGTAATTCCTATTTGGAAGGTCCAAGGTTCAACATAAACTTTTTTCCCTTGAGCTCCTGCTGTAACACTCTTGATCCCCACTGATACCTCTGGCTTTCTCGGGAGAAAGCTAAGGAACAAGGAAAGGGAAAGAAGAAAAGCCCAGTGAAATATTTCAAAATCTTAGTCCTTATTACACTTCTGGGAAGCATTTACTCAGTGTCTGGAACTTAAGTAGAAATCAGTGATCTCAGCGATTACCCTTTTTTTCACGTATTCCCCACAATAGTAGACATTATCATTATCTATTTGCTTCGAAAATAAGCCATTTTATTCAAGTATAATTCATATACAGAAAAGTGCACAAACCCTAAGTGTACAGATTAATATCAAAGTGATATTAAGTAACACACTAAGTGACTGTCACTCTTCATATTCCCCCCCTCCTCATGTTCCCTCCCCTTCCCTGCCCCAAATAGCAACCTCTCTCATGACTTCTAACACCATGGACTCATTTTACCTGTTTTTTCACTTTATGTACATGGAATCATGCAGTACAGTACAGTATTGTGTCTGGCTTCTTTCATTGAAAATTATAATTGTGAAATTCATCCATGTTGTTGCATGAATTAGAAGCTCATTTATTTTTGTTGCTCTTTAGTTTTCTATATATGAGTAAACCACAATTTATTTATTCATTTTACTGGCAATGTACTTTAACATTTTTCCCAGTTTGGGGCTTTTGTAGAATTCTATGAACACTTTGTATTTGTCTTCTGGTGCACATGGGTACTCATTTATATTAGGCATAAACCTAGGAGTAGAATTGATAGTCCACAGGGTATGCATATATTTGGCTTTATTAGATACTATCAATTTTCCAAAGCTGCTGTACCAATGTAAAGTAAGATGTATAAAAGTTTCACTTGCCCTACATTCTTGTTTATACTTGGCATTGTCAGAGTTTTCCTTTTTAGCCATTCTGGTGAATGTGTAGAGTTATCTCATTGAGGCGTAAATTTTCCTTTCCCTGATAACCAGTGAAGCTGAGCACATTTTCAATTGCTTATTGGCCATTTGGATATTCTCTTTTGTGAAGAGCTTGTTTGGGTGTGTTGTCCCTTTTTAAATTGAATTGCCTTTTTCTTAACGACTGAAGGCACTTTTTATATGTTCTATTTGACAAGTCCTTTTTTGGTTGTTCATACAGCAAATGTGTTCTTTTACTCTGTAGTTTACCTTTTGCTTTTTTGATAATGTCTTTGGATGAACAGACATTCCTAATTTCAATAAAGTCCAGTTTATCAATCTTCCTTTATGATTAGCATTTCTCTGAACCATTTAAGGAATCTTTGCCTAACCTAAGGACAAGAATATATTTACCTATTGTTTTGATTTTCAAATTTAGATTCACAAATCACCTGGGATTTATTTATTTATTAATTTAATGGTGTGAGGTAGGGAATTGTCTTAGCTTAGGCTGCTATATCAAAATACCATACATTGAGTGTCTTGAACAACAGACATTTATTTCTCACAGTTCTAGAGGCTAAGAAGTCCAAGATCACAACATTCAGTTTCTGGTGAGGGTCCCCTTCCAAGTTTGCAGATGGCCACATTCTTGCTGTGCTTATGTGGCCTTTCCTCTGTGTGAGCACATGGAGAGAGAGAGAGAGATCTCTCTGTCTTCCTCTTCTTAAAAGGGCACTAATCCCATCAGGAGGAGCTCACCCTCATGATCTAATCTAAGCCTCCTTACCTCCCAAAATCCCATCTCCAAATATCATCACATTTGGTGTTAGTGCTTCAACATATGAATTTGGCATGGGTGGGGTGAAGGGTAAGGGGGACAAAAATATTCATCCCCTAACAGGAATCAAGGATTTATTTTTTCCCAAATGGACATCCTATTGCCCTATCACCATTTATTGAAAAGTCTGCTTTTTCCTCACTGTACTACATGGTCATTTTTGTCCTAAATCATCACATACAGGTGGGGCTGTTTCTAGATTCTGTGCATTCCATTGGTCTCTTTGTGCCAATACTACCTTACCTCAATTACTGATTTTATAATTTACATCTCTGCTAGAGTGAAATCCTAATTTCTTCTTCAAGATTTTATTTGGCTATTCTTGGCTCTGGGTTTTCATGTAAATTTTAGAATAAGATTGACTTTTTTTTTTTTTCAAAGAAAGAAAGAAAAATTTCCTGAGGCTTAATCAAGACTGCATTAAATTTGTAGGCCCAATCAGGAAAAGGTGACATCACTGCAAGTTGAACAAACATGAACATAGATGATACCCATTTTAGAGATAAGAACATTAAATTTAGGATCATTAACGGAGAAGTGTGACCCAATCATCTCTGAAACAGGATGATCACAAGCCCTGATAAAACACACTGTCAAGATTAACTCCTTGGAGCTTGCTGGAGGAGCTCGGAGCTTGGCAAGAGTAGTCCTACACTCAATCAGTTTGAGAAGAGAAACAGCCTTGGCCAGGGGAAGGACCCCAGATGACAGAGGTAGATGGGCTTAACATGTTCCTACCCCTACACAGATTAAGTGTGCCTTGAGCCCATCACCTGTCTTCACTGAGCCGCACATACTTGAGAGTCATTTTTATTCTGCTTCTTTCTTTCCTGCTTTTTCTTCTCTAACAAGTGGAGGTTGATATAGGACAAAGAACAGTTAATTTATTCCCCCATTCCCCTAAGCCTTATTTTAAAAGTTAAAAAATAATAAGAGCTAGTGTTTAATGAGCTTACCCTGTGTCTAGCAGTGTTCTAAAACTTTTTTAAAATTAAGAGATAATTTACATACTGTAAAATTCACCCTTTTAAAAGCATCAAATTCAGTGGTTTGTGCAACGATTGCCACTATCTATTTCCAGAATATTTTTATCACCCTAAAAACCTCCCACTGGAGTGAACCCTAATGTAAACTATGGCTTTAGGTGATAATGATGTGTCAATGTAGATTCACTGATTGTAGCAAATGTACCACTCTGGTGTGGGATTTTGATAGTGGAGGAGGCCATGCATATATGGGGGGAGAGGGTATGTGGGAAATCTCAGTACCTTCCACTCAATTTTGCTGTGAATTGAAAACTGCTCTTTAAAAGGTCTATTAAAAAAGAAAAAAGGAAGAAACCTCATACCCATTAGCAGTCACTTCCAATTCCCCCTCCCACAAGCCCCCAGCAACCATTAATCTACTTTATGTTTCTAAGGATTTGCCTATTCTGGACTCATATGAAGAGTCGTACAATATGTGGACTTTTCAGTCTGGCTTCTTTCACTTAGCATTGTGTTTTCAAGGTTCATCCATGTTGTCACATTGTCACAACAAAGTTAACAAAGTACTGTATCAGTATTTCATTCTTTTTGATGGCCGAATAATATTCTATTGCATGGCTACATCACATTTTGCTTATCTATTTATCAGTTGATGGAACACTTACGTAGTTTCCACCTTTTGGTTAATATGAGTAATGCTGCTATGGACATACATGTAATAGTAATGCTGCTATGGACATACATGTACAAGTTTTTGTGTGAATATGTGTTTTCACTTCTATTGAGTGTATAACTAGGATTGGAATTCATGGGTTATAGTCATGGGACTTCTAGGTTTAACTCTTTGAGGAACCGCCAAATCGTTTTCCAAAAGGGATGCATCATTTTACATTTCTACCAGCAACATATGAGAGTTCCAATTTCTCCACATTCTCACCAGCATGTTATTGCCCCTCTTTTTTTTTTATTATACCATCTTAGTGGATGTGAAGTGGTATCTGATTCTAATTTTGATTTGCAAAAGACTAATAATGTTGATCATCTTTTCATGTGTATATCACCCATTTGTGTATCTTCCTTGGAAAAACGTCTACACAAATCCTTTGTCTTTTTTTTTTTTTTTTTGAGACGGAGTTTTGGTCTTGTAGCCCAGACTGGAGTGCAATGGTGCAATCTCAGCTCACTGCAACCTCTGCCTCCCAGGTTGAAGCGATTCTCCTGCCTCAGCCTCCCAAGTAGCTGAGATTACAGGTGCCCGCCACCACACCCAGCTAATTTTTCTGTTTGTTTGTTTGTTTAGTAGAGACAGGGTTTCACCATGTTGGCCAGGATGGTCTGGAACTCCTGACCTCAGGTAATCCACCCGCCTCGGCCTCCCTTGGTCCATTTTTAAATTGGGTTGTGGTTTTTTAATTCCTGAGCTGTAGGAGTATATATTCTGGATATTTAGACCCTTATCAGATATGTGTTTTGGAAATATTCTCCAATTCTGTGGGTTGTCTTTTAATTTTCTTGATAGTGTTATTTGAATACAAACATCTTCAATTTTTCTTTTGGTTGCTTGTGCTTTAGATGTTATATTGAAAAAAACATTGCCTAATCCAAGGCAATGAAGACTTACTCCTAAATTTTATTCTAAGAGTTTTATAGTGTTAGCTCTTACATTTAAGACTTTGATCCATTTTTAGTCAATTTACATATATGGATTAAGATAAGAATCCACCTTTAGTCTTTTGTATTCTGTCATTCCAGGACCATCTGTTGAAAAGACTATTCTTTGGCCAGGCATGGTGGCTCACACCTGTAATCCCAGCACTTTGGGAGGCCGAGGTGGGCAGATCACGTGGTAAGGAGTTTGAGATTAGCCTGGCCAACATGGTGAAACTCCATCTCTATTAAAAATACAAAAAAAATTAGCCAGGCATGGTGGCACACACCTGTAGTCCCAGCTACTCAGGAGGCTGAGGCAGGAGAATCGCATGAACCCAGGAGGTGGAGGTTGCAGTGAGCTGAGATCATGCCACTTCACTCCAGCCCGGGTGACAGAGCAAGACTTCGTTTCAAAAAAAAAAAAAAAGAAAGAGAAATAAAAGACTATTCTTTTCCCCATTGAATTATCTTAGTATCTTTATCAAAAATCAATTGCCCATAAATGTATGAATTTACTTATTTCTGGACTCTCAATTCTGTTCCAGTGATCTATATGTCTATCCTTATGCCAGTACCACATAGTCTTGATTGCTAGAGCTTTGTAAAAGATTTCAAAATAGGAAGGTATGAGTCTGCCAATGTTTCCTTCTTAAGATTATTTTGACCTTTCTAGGTCCCTTGCATTTCCACATGAATTTTAGGACCAACTTATCAATATCTGCCAAATAGTCAGCTGGGATTTTGATAGGAATTACTATGATCTATAAATCAATTTGGAGAATATTGCCAATATTATCTCTTTCAATTATGAACACAGATTTCTTCCCATTTATTTAAATCTTTAATTTCTTTCAATAATGTCTCATAGTTTTCAGTATACAAGTCTTCTGCTTCTTTTGTTAAATTTATTCCTAAATATCTTATCCTTTTTAGTGCTATTATAAATGGAATTGTTTTATCTCATTTTGGATTGTTCATTGCTGATGCACAGAAATATAATTGATTTTTTCATTTTGATCTTATATTCTGCAGCCTTGCAGAATCCTTTTATTAGCCTTATTAGCTTTTTTTGGTGAAATCTTTAGGATTTTATAAAGATCATGATGATGTCATCTGCAAATAGAAATAGTTTTACTTTTCCTTTCCAATATAGATGCCTTTTATTTCTTTTGTATTGTTATTATTATACATAAACTGCATGACCATCAACACAGATTCATAACCATTTCTTTACACAGTCATCTTTTAAGTCAGATAAGAGGAAAAAGGTTTATAAAAATATATAAATATTTACATAACATGTATTTCTACTGTATCCTTTTACTGGTGTTCTTTATTTCTTCTTGTGAATTCAAGTTGCTGTCTAGAGTGCTTTTATTCAGCCTGAAGAATTCTCTTTAGTATTTCTTAAAGAACAGATTTGCTAACAATAAAGTCTCTTAGTTTTTGCTTATCTGGGAATGTTTTAATTTCTCTCTTTTTTTTTAAGGAAAGCTTTGCTGGATATAGAATTCTTGATTGACAATCTCTTTCAGTGCTTTGAATGTGTCATTTCATCACCTTCTGGTCTCCATGGTTTATAATGAGAAATCAGCTGTTAATCTTATTGGGGATCCCTTGTACCTGGTGAGCAATTTTTTTTCTTGCTGCCTTCAAGATTCTCTCCATGTGTTTCACTTTCAACAGCTTGATTATGATGTGTCTACATGTAGGTCTCTGAGTTTATCCTAGAGTGTGTTATGCTGCTTAGATGTGTAGGTAAATGTTTTTCCATCAAATTATTTCTTCAAATATTCTGAATCTTTCTCTCCTTTGCTTCCGGAACTCCTGTTACGCATATGGCATTATGCTTGATAATGTCTCATAGGTCTTTGAGGCTCTGTTTATTTTTCTTTATTCATTTTTCTTTGTGTCCTTCAGACTGACTACTCTCAATTGACCCAACTTCAAGTTTGCTGACTTTCTTGTTGCCTGCTCCAGTTTGCTGTTATGCCCCTCTAGTGAATTTTTAATCTTAGTTATTGTGATTTCCAACTCCAAAATTTCCATTTGGTCCTTTTATAAATCTAATTTTAAATCTCTTTATTGTTATTATCTATTTGGTGAGACATCATTCTACTTTCCTTTAGTTCTTTATACGTGATTTCCTTTAGCATGTATTTTAAATGGATTATTTAAAGTCTTTGGTAAGTTCAATGTCTGGGCTTCCTCAGGGACAGTTTTTATTGATTCCTTTTTCTCCTATATAGGGACCAGTTTCTCCTTCTCCTTCTCTTTCTCCTTCTTCTCTTTTTTCTCCTTTTTCTCCTCCTCTTCCTCCTCCTTCTCCTCCTGCTTCTCCTTCTTCTTTATTTTTTTGAGATAGAGTCTCACTCTGTAACCCAGACTGGAATGCAATGGTGTGATCATAACTCACTGCAGCCTTAAACTCCTGGGCTCAAGCAGTCCTCCTGCCTCAGCCTCCCAAGTAGCTAGGACTACAGTGCACACCACCACAGGCTAGTTTTTTTTAAATTTTTTAGAGATGGGGTCTTGCTATGTTGCCCAGGCTGGTCTTGAACTCTTGGTCTCAAACAATCCTCCCTCCTTAGCCTCCCAACGTGCTAGAATTACAGATGTATCTGGCCACATGGCCATGAGACACTGTACCTGGCCATAGTTTCTTATTTATTTTCATGTCTCTTTTTTGTTTGTTTGTTTAAACCTGAATATTTTACATAATATATTATGGATGCTTTGGAAATTATATTCTAGCCCCTCCCCACATGTTGATGTTGTGGCATTTGGTTTTTTTAAGTGACTTTTCTGAACTGCTTCTATAAAGGCTGGATCCTTTTGTCTGTATGATATTGAAATATTGGGCAGAAATTTCCTTAAATGCCTGCAACTAATATGTCTCTCAGTTTTTGTTGAGGGTCTGTCTGTATGTTGAAGCATATTCAAAACTCAGGTAGGCAATTGATAACTCTGCCTTAGCCTTCACGTTCGGCTTGTGCAGAGCCTCAAGGTCATCCAGAGGTGATAGTTTAGGGCCCTCTCAAGTCTTTCCTGTGCGCATGGACAGCCCTGGGCACCTGTACCACCCCACACATGCTCATGGCCTTCTAGATTCCCAGGAAATGTCAGAGCTTTTCAAAGCCCCTATAGGACATCTTACTCTCCAGCTTTTCCTTTAAAGCTTTTTGGTTAGCTTATTGTTTGCCCCAAATGTTATTTACAACCAATGCAATCACAAAGTTAAATAATTGCCTCTAAACGTTTTTGACAAATACCACCAGTGAAAAGCAAGAGAAACTTTTTGCACTGGGTAAGCTCTGAGTCAGCTAAAATAAAGACAACCTTGCAAGTGGGGTCTTGCAGGGAATCACCAGACGGGCCGACAAGGACAACTCCAGGGAATGTAGCTTTGAAGGAGCTTCAACTCTATTTTGTCCTCTCTGGTGGCTACCAGTTTGATAGTTTTCACCATAAATGTGGGGCTACTGGTTTCCAAGGCTACCACAGAGCTGAAAAGAGGGGGATGGGAATAGGGCGAGTAAGAACATCACAGAGGTCACTGTTCTTATCAAGATTTAGCCTTTTTTCTTGAATAAATGTTCCCTCAATTGCTGCACGCCTTTGATTAATTTCAAGATTCTGAAAAAGTTGATTCTGATCATTTTATTTCCACTTTTCTTATCGGAGGAAAGAATTTTTCAGTCTTCCTCCACCATTTTTACTGATGTTACCTCTGTTCTACGCCAGATATTGCCTTATGTAATTTTCACCACAACTCTATGTGGTAGGTATTGATTTTTTTATTATTATTTTCTCCATTTTACAGACGAGGAATCTGAGGCACAGAGAGGTGAAGTGACTTGCCCCAGGTCACACAGCCAACAAGTGGTAGAGCAAGGATTCAAATGCAGAGTTTAACTCTAGGCCTGGAATTCTCACTGGGATCTTTTGTCTCCCTAGAAGTGGGAAAGGAACACTGGCTTTGGGAGTCAGGAAGTCTGAATTCAAGTCCCAGCTTTGCTGTTGTCCAATTATGTGAGCCTCAGTGCACTGCTCTCTCTCTGCCTCAATTTCCCCATGTGTAAAATGAAGTCGTTGACTGATATCTCCTATTCTCTCCAAGAGTTTGGGTTTCCCCAGAGTGAGAACTGCCCACCAGACATAAAACTATGACCTCTGCATGGGGCCCAGGCCTTGGCACTGCTGCTACAAAGGGTAACCTGTCCTCCCAGAGCCCTTCCTTAGTGGGCAAGAGCAGCCATCACAAAGTGCTCTAGCCCAGCCCAGTCACTTGGGTGCTTTAGGTGACTCCAGAGGAGGCTTTTGCCTGCCAGAGCTGCCACTGGCCACAGGCTCCTTTCACTTGTGTTGTAGATCCCAGAGCACTAATTCCCCCACTGGCTCCTAGGCGGTGCTGCCCAACACCAAGGAAGGCCAGGCTGAGAAGGGGAAGTCTTTGCTCCATCCTCTGCTCCTCTCACTTCTACTCCCCATCTTAATTCCCCTCCCATCAAAGCCTGCAGGAACCTGACTCTGCTTTCAGTCCATGGAATAAAGGGCATTCTTTAAAAATATATACACTTTCCCAGTCTTTTCTTTGACCTACAAGGTCCTACTAATATCAGGCTTCCAAGTTACCCCTATGACCTCATCTCCTATCACTCACCTCCCTCCCTGGGCTCCTGACACACATGCCAGGCACACTCCCACCTCAGGGCTTTTGTACTTGCTGTTCCATCTGCCTGGGTCGTCAGAGGGCTCACTCTGTCACCTCCTCAAGTCTTTGCTCAAACATCCCTTTTCAGTGAGGACTTCCCTGGACTCCCTAGTTAAAATGCCTCACTCCTAACTTCCCTTTCTTCTCCCGACTTCGTTTTCCCCCTTAGGACAATAAATTGCTTTTTTGCCCAAACCAGTTTGTTTTCCTTCCTTTGCAAACTAAGCATTCCTATGAATTATAGCCCTCAATGAAGACCCAATAGCTGAACCTCCAAAGGCAAGGGCTCCTCCTCTGACCCCATCAAAGGTTTTGGCATGGAGCTGGGTGCATCGGAGGCCCGGACCCAAAGCAGGACAACTTGTCTTGCTTCGGCAATTGGCACAGGGATGCTCTAAGATGACAGCTCTGTGCAGGAGGACAGCTGGGCCACAGACAAGGCGGGGAGAAGACACAGATTCAGATGAAGCTGGACTCTGCCCTGTCCTTCTCATCCTGGCCAACTTAAGACCTGACCCAGCAGTTGGGAAACATCTTTTCCTTTTCTCTTGCTAAAGTCCAGCTGGGGCCAGCCTTTTTCCACCAGGCCATGTGAGCAAGATGGAAACTATGACAGTTCTGGATGGGCTGGAGGCTGGACTTTATCCCTGCCACATCCCTGCCAGCCAGTCACCCTGACCTACCACATCCATGCCACCTGCCTGCCAGGCCATTCCCAGAGTTGCTCTGTCCTGGACAGCTTGGCAGCTGTGAAGTGCCTCACACAGTGCAGGGAATAGGAGATGATGTCACTCAGGAGTTCGGCTGACCGAGCACTCCTGGAAAGATGGGCAGACTGAGGCCCCACCAGGAGAGGAGGTGCTCAACAAAATCTCGTGTTCAACAAAATCATATGGCTTGCGACACCAGAGAGGCCTGGGTTTTAACCCAGTTTGTGCTGATTTTCGAAGTGGTCAGAACTATTCTTACAAGGTGTCAACGCACACTGAGTGAGGGCATGGGTCAGGGTTGTTTGTGTGTGTTGCCCATTTCATCCTCCTCACAATACAGTGTAAGAGACATTGTTATAACCTTTGATTAGGGAACCAAGACTTCACTGTCTGTGAAGTATTCTACTCTACCAGCTCATTGCATCTTCACGCAACCAGGGAGTATTACAATTAGTCACTCCATTTTACAGATGAGATGAGAAGATGCTGGATGAGAAGCCTTGAATCTCCAGGCCAAAAAGGGCTATAGAGAAAACTACAGCACACCCTTCTGGGGAATGTATGATTCTAGCTCTGTTCGTTGTCTCTGAGCTTAATATTTTGCACTTTATAAATTGCAGATAACTGATAGACATACAAACTTTGTCTTGTCTGATGGAACTGACTTCCATCCCCTTTGTGGAAAAATTAACTCTGCCTCCAATTATAATTCAATTCCTTTATTCCATATAAATTTGTGCTTTTTTGACTTGTCCTTTGACCCAGTTGTAACATCTGTCTATTTATTTTACTCTATATACATTTGTACTTTTCTTTTGAATGAGTTATAACATCTGTCTTGCCCCCTCATTGTTTAACAAGTAAACTAAAATCTTTAGTATGGGTTCATTTTTATAGCTGTAAGAGAGTCACGGTTTTAACCTTTTTCTGAAAATTATCTTTTAACAGAGCCTAGAAATCAACGCCTGATTCTTACTGAAGTAGTCCTGGAAACAAACCCTCCCATTCCTCCTTGCTCACCTCCAGCACTCAGGGCGCCCTTCCATTTTGTAGGTAATCCTCATTCAGGGTGCTACCTATCACCCCTTAGCTTACAAATGTGCAAATTAAGGCTCAAAGAGGCAAAGCAACTTGCCCAAGTCTACACGGGAAAGCCAAGCTGTGTGTGTGTGTGTATGTGTGTGTGTCCTGACTGCTTGACCAGATTGTGAATTCAGCTCCAGGTAGAGTACAAAGAATACATTTGGAAACAGTCTGGTGCTTGATGGGGGCCAGGTAATGCTGTGATTAAACAGCAGGTTCCAGGGGCCTTGGCAGGTTGCACAATCTCCAGGGAGTGAGACTGCAGCAGTACTGTTAGTACCGTTGGTGGTGTCTTTGACTCCTGCAAATCCTAAAGAACAGTTCAGGCCTAGGTGGTGGTCTCTTTCTGTCCCTTCCTAGCTCTCCACCTAAGAAAATTGCCCAGGGTCATACTGCTTGTAAGTGAAAAAGCCGGGATTTGAGCCCAGGAAGTCTGACTTGCAAACTTGCATGCTGCAGGGTTCAAGACTTGGACTTAAACCCAAGTTTGTTCTTCTCAGCTGTGTGACCCTGGAAAAGTTGCTTAAGTTCTCTGAGCTACTTAACTTCTCATTTAAAAGTTGTTATGAAAATTGAATTAGATAACATGAGCCAAGTGCCAGACACATAGTAAATCCTCAATAAATAGGTGCTGTTTTCCAAGGCCTCATTATCTCAAATAATGAGCCACCTCTTAGGGGCCCTTATCATGAGCCAGGTACTGTGGGAGGCATTTTATTGACATCATGTTCAGAAATTCTCCCAACAGCCCTTGGGGAGACACCACTATAACCCCTATTTGACAATTTGATAAGCCATTTCCCCAAAGTTGCACAGTGAGTAAGCAAAGAGGCCGAGATGTAAACCCAGGTTCCCTGACTCCAAGGCCTAGACACTTTTCTACACTATGCACCTGCTAATGTATTTATTCACTCATCACATATTTATTGGGCACCTACTATGTATGCCAGGCTCTGTTCTAGGTGCCAGGACTATAGCAGTGAACCAAACAGACACAAATCCCTGTGCTCATGAAGCTGATGTTCTGGTTTGGGGAGCATCAGGCAGAGCTTCTAGCCTTTCAAGGTAATACTGGTCACCCCTCCCACCTGCCTGACCAAGGTGGGCAAGTGCCTGATGGAACTTTGGAGTTGGAGCTGGACATGGGTGGCATGGGGGCAAGGCAAGGATCAGGCCCAAGTCTGTGAAAGGATGGAGACAAAGAGAAGTAGGGGGTACAGGAAAGAGAGTGGCCTCAGAAACCGACCCTCTGTGCCTCCAAGGACTTGGGTTCTCTGGGGACCGTCTCTCCCTGAAGGCAACGATCCCCAGAGCTAAAATCAGGTATTTCCAGGTGTGAAGGCTGATTGCAGTGTGGACAGAGCCTGCTGGGGGGGCTCTGGTCTAGGGCTCCCCTGAACCTCCTGGTGGAATGAAGTCAGGATGGAGGAGAGTGTGCCTCTCCCTGCGTGGCTGCCATCTGTGGACATTTGGGTGGGCCAGGGTGCCCTCTTGTGGCCTCCCTTGTCTCTGCAGAGACTCTTCATGTGTCCCTGTGGTTGGAGGAGCTTCCCATGCCTAGATCGTTTCTCTGTTCCCAGCCTGGACCCTTGACCCTTTTTTCTATTCCCAGCCTTTTCTGCCCCTGAGGTCTGAAAAATGGTCCTCGTCATGACTCTTGGCTTTTCCTGTGTAGATCTTGAAACTCAGAGCTCAGAATCCCGCAAGCCCTTAGTGATGCTGTTGGAGGCATGGCACTGTGATGAGGAGGCAAGCAGGCTGACCGCCTGGCTCAAATCCTGACCCTGCTGCTTAGGACAATGGCACAACTTCTCCCTTATTTTTCTCATTTTTAAAGCGAAGATAATAATAGTTTCTACCTTAAAGTGTTGTTCTGGGAATTAAATGAGACAATATACATTGAGCAATTTGTCAAAGCCCCAGTACTACCCCCCGACCCCCACCACACACACACACTCACACTCACACCTTTTATGCCTTCCCTTAGTATTTCAGAGGCCTGAAACCTAACAAGTGCATTTTTCAGAATGACTTGCCAGCTGGGTTCCAAGTTAGATCCAGCCACTGGGAGGCAGAGGCAGGGGCACATTATTGCTTCTCCAACAGCAGTGGCAGAATCTTGAGTTTTAGGTTTCAGTTTGGCAGCAGCCTCTGCAGGTCCCCCCACCACCCTACATACACACAGACTGCCCCAGGATGGGAGGCAGCTGTGATCACTGCTGGTGGTTTTCTGAAGCTCCTGCAATGTCCAGACTTTCTGAAAGCTGGTGGCAGCTTTCCCCAATCTTTACATTCCAATCCATCCACTGGTTCAGTAAGCATCATATTTTTCCCATTAAATCCCCTTCTGCTGGATGTCAAGCAACCAGGGCTCTCATTCATTGTTGGCAGGTGTGGAAAATGGTATGACCATTTTGGGAACACATTTGGCAGTTTCCTATAAACATATACTCTACCATAAGATCCAGCAATTCTACACCTAGGAATTTATCCAAGACCAGTGAAATCATAAGGCCATACCAAGACCTGTCCATGTATGTCTACAGCAGCATTACTCATCACCATCCCAAGCTGGAAACAACCCAAATGCCCATCAATAAGGGACTGGACAAACTGGCACATCCATACAACACAATATTACTCAATAAAAAGGAAGGTACTGATACACACAACATGGATGAAGTTTGGACATGATGATGAGTGAAAAAAGGCATGAAGGGGTATTATTTTATGTGTCAACTATGGAGGGGTGCCAAACCTTCAAGAAAATAATTGCCACACAGCTGTGAGGAGTGCAGTTTGCTAACGTCCTCCGGCCATAGGACCACTGGGATCATGCTGAAGCCATGCTCTTTACGGGCAGCCCACCGAGCAGAGACAGCACTAAGGCCTGGCCATTTCAATCCAACAGGGAACTCTCTATGATATTTCTTGGTGCTGGAGTTCTCCGTTGGGCTGGCTGAGACTTTCTCACTAATCCTTATTCCTTCCTTCTCTTCTTTTGTAGGAGCCAGATCAGCAGAAAGGCCTGAAGGTTCTCCCCACATACTCCTGTTCCCACTCCCCTTTTCCTTTTGTGACTTATCCCCAATAAACCTCTAACACTGCTAACTCCATCTTGACATCTGCTTCCTGGGGCATTGTATACATTTCATTTATATGAACTTTTAAGAGAGGCAAAATTAGATACCAAAAATATAGATGCAAAAAACACAGATCAGTGGTTGCCTGGTGATATGATTTGGATGTTTTGTCCCCTCCAAATCTCCTGCTGAAATGTGACCTCCAATGCTAGAAGCGGGCATAGGGGGAGGTGTTTGGGTCATGGGGGTAGATTCCTCATGAATGGCTTGGTGTCCTCCCCATGGTAATGAGTGAGTTCTCACTCTATTAGTTCATGTGAGAGCTGGTTATTTAAAGGATCCTGGCACCTCTTCCTTGCTCCCTCCCCTTCTCTTTCTCCATATGACATGCATGCTTCCCCTTTGCCTTCCACCATGATTGAAAGCTTCCTAGGCCTCACCAGAAGCCAAGCAGATACTGGTGTCATGCTAGACAGCCTGCAGTGCCTTTCTTTAGAAATTACCCAGTCCCAGGTATTCCTTTATAGCAATGCAAAATGGACTAACACACCTCAGCTAGAGGCTGGAGAGATTAACTGCCAAGGCACATGAGGAAATTTTTTGGAGTCATGTAAACATGCTATATCTTGGTCATGGTGGTTACGCTGGTCTATACATTAGGCAAAACTCATGAAGTATACAACTAAAACGGGTGATTTTATTGTATGTAAATTATCTCAATAGAGATGAATTTTTAAAAATCCTTTCTTTCTGGAAATACCTAGAGAATACGGTGGTTATAAGACTGTGTGCATTTGTCAAAACTCAGAGTTATACACTAAAAAGGGGGAGTTGTACAATCTATAAATTATGTTTTTGGCCAGGCATGGTGGCTTACGCCTGTAATCCCAACACTTTGGGAGGCCAAGGCAGGTGAATCACTTGAGGCCAGGAGTTCGAGACCAGCCTGGCCAACATGGTGAAACCCCATCTCTACTAAAAATACAAAAATTAGCTGGGCCTGGTGGTGCGTGCCTGTAATCCCAGTTACTTGGGAGGCTGAGGCAGGAGAATCTCTTGAACCCAGGAGGCGGAGGTTGCAGTGAGCCGAGATCGTGCTACTGTACTCCAGCCTGGGTGATAGAGCAACACTCTGTCTCAAAAAAAAATCATATATATTTTTTCATTGAAGAATGAATCAGGGAAATAATAATTTTTACTGATTATCATGTGGTTATTGCTGAAAATAATTTCATAGATGAGGAGGGAGGTGTTAAAAAGTGATCTGCTTCATTGACATCCTCATACTTCCTGATTTCAAAACTTACTACAAAGCTACATAATCAAAACATTATGGTACTGGCATAAAGACAGACATATAGACCAATGGAACAGAATAGAGAGCCCAGAAATGAACCTTCACATGTATGGCCAAATGATTTTCAACAAAGACACCAAGACCATTCAATAGGGAAAGAACAGCCTTTTCAACCAATGATGCTGGGGAAACTGGATATTCATATAAAAAGAATGAAGCTGGACCTCTCCTTCACACCACACATAAAAATGAACTCAAGATGGATCAAAGACCTGAATGTAAGACGTAAAAATATAAAACTCTTGGAAGAAAATGTAGGGCAAATTCTTCACAACACTGGATTTGGCAGTGATTTCTTGGATGTGACATCAAAGGCACAGGCAACAAAAGGAAAATCAGGCAAATTGAACTTTATGAAAATTAAAAGCTTTTGTGCATCAATAGACACTATCAACAGAGTAAAAGGCAATTCACAAAAAGGCAGAAAATATTTACAAATCGTATATCTGATAAGGGAATAATATCCAAAATATACAGAGAACACCTAAAATTGAACAACAAAAACCCAACAACTCAGTTAAAAAATGGGTAAAGGACTTGAACAAACATTCTCCTAAGTCATACAAAAGGCCAATAAGTACATCAAAAGTTGCTCAGCATCCCTAATCATTAGGGAAATGCAAACCAAAATTATAATAAGATACCACTGGCTGGGCATGGTAGCTCACGGCTGTAATCCCAGCACTTGGGAGGCTGAGACGGGTGGATTGCTTGAGCTCAGGAGTTTAAGACCAGCCTTGGCAACATGGCGAAACCCCATCTCTATTTAAAAAATAAAAGATACCACCTCATACTCATTAGAATGGCTAAATGGCTACTATGAAAACAAAACAAAACAAACATAAAATAACAAGTGTTGCTGAGAAGGTGGACAAATTGGAACGCTTGTGCACTGTTGGTGGGAATGTAAAATGGTGCAGCCTCCGTGGAAAACAGTGTGGTTAATATCACTAAACTGTAGACCTAAAGTGATTACGATGATCAATTTTATGCTATGTGTATTTTACCACAATAAAAAACTTCAAAAAACTAACAGAGTTACAAAAAATATATATTTTATTTTATTTTTTTTTGAGACGGAGTCTCGCTCTGTCGCCCAGGCTAGAGTGCAGCTGCATGATCTCGGCTCACTGCAAGCTCTGTCTCCTGGGTTCACACCATTCTCCTGCCTCAGCTGCCCGAGTAGCTGGGACTACAGGTGCCTGCCACCACGGCTGGCTAATTTTTTTGTATTTTTAGTAGAGACAGGGTTTCACCGTGTTAGCTAGGATGGTCTCGATCTCCTGACCTTGTGATCCGCCCGCCTCCCAAGGTGCTGGGATTACAGGCATGAGCCACTATGCCCAGCCTAAAAATTATCATTTTTTTAAAAAAAAGAGATATCTGCTATGGGTGTCAAATATGCTAGGTACCCCACGGACAAGGGGAATGGGAAGTTGGGAAGTCTTGGATATCAGCTACTTGGTAGAAACAAAGAACAATATTAATCATAGAGGGCTTCCTGGAGGAGGTGATACGGTTGGGCTGATGCTAGGCCAAAGAAGAATTACAGTAGTGAACGATTTCGCCTCAGTGCCCATCTAGGCGCTGCCCCTTGGTTCAGTTCTTCATGGTTTCCAGGGAGGCAGGGAGCTTGGAATACCCACATTGCTGTCACTTGGCAACCAGGAACTGGTGGCTGCAGCCACCAGCCAAGTTCTTTCCATCATCCTGGGCCCTCACCTCTGGCATAGGCTCTTGGTAGTGGGGGCCCAGACAGGGAGGCACCTGCCACCTGCTTCCCTTCTCAGCCACCCACAGCCCTCATAGGGCAGAATGGGACTCTTGCTGATGTAGGTAAGTCCACAGAAAGTGCTGGATGGATCAGGGGCAACACACACACACACACACACACACACACACACACACACACACACACACCAGCCCCAGGAGTTCCTCCCATTTGTTCCCATCCCTGGAGGACCCTGGGGTTCAGGACAGGTGGAACATAGTCCTGGCCTTCAGGGGATTCACAGCCTAGTGCAAGAGATAGAGCTCACCTCATTCTTTCAATACACTGATGCCAGTGCCTATTCCATGCTGGCTGCTGGGTTACATACTTTCTTCTTCTTCTTTTTTTTTGTTTTTTGGTTTTTTTGAGACGGCGTCTCGCTCTGTCGCCCAGGTTGGAGTGCAGTGGCGCGATCTCAGCTTACTGCAAGCTCTGCCTCTCGGGTTCACGCCATTCTCCTGCCTCAGCCTCCGAGTAGCTGGAACTACAGGTGCCCGCCACCACGCCCGGCTAATTTTTTGTATTTTTAGTAGAGACGGGGTTTCACTGTGTTAGCCAGGATGGTCTCGATGTCCTGACCTCGTGATCCGCCCGCCTCAGCCTCCCAAAGTGCTGGGATTACAGGCGTGAGCCACCGCGCCCGGCCTGGGTTACGGACTTTCTAAGGCATGGCTTACCCCCGGTCAGGGGTGTGGGAGGACAGAGCAGATCGCACTACAACACCCTCATCACCCTTCAGCAGTCACCTCTAGACGCAAAGACTGCTTTCTCTAAATTATGCAACTCTGTGCCTGAGGGCCTTCCAGGACCCCAGAAGCAGCTCTCAGCCTGTGGCAGATGCCCTCAAATGCAATAGCTCTGAGACATGCCCCACACTGCCTCCCAGAGTTCCCGGGTAGGAGTGCGGTCCAGTTGCCCGTAGAGGTAACTGGCTTCATCACACTCCCTCTGCTGGCTCCCTTTCCTTCCTGTCTCACTTCCCTACTCCACTGCCCCCACCGCTATTTCCTGGAATCAGCTCCCAAATAAACCACTCAAATCCCTGTCTCACCACGGGCTTCTGAGAGAATACATGTTAAGACAGGGATGATGGTGTAGAAGAGGGAACCAGTGTTCTGTAAGATGCCAGCTACAACCAACTGTATGCAAAGCAGTGTTGAACCAAGGGGTGGGGGTGACGGAGCTGTCTGCCCTGTAAGATGCCAGCTACAACCAACTGTATGCAAACCAGTGTTGAACCAAGGGGTGGGGGTGACGGAGCTGTCTGCCCTGTAAGATGCCAGCTACAACCAACTGTATGCAAACCAGTGTTGAACCAAGGGGTGGGGGTGACGGAGCTGTCTGCCCTGTAAGATGCCAGCTACAACCAACTGTATGCAAACCAGTGTCAAGGGGTGGGGGTGACGGACCTGTCTGCCCTGTAAGATGCCAGCTACAACCAACTGTATGCAAAGCAGTGTTGAACCAAGGGGTGGGGGTGACGGAGCTGTCTGCCCTGTAAGATGCCAGCTACAACCAACTGTATGCAAACCAGTGTTGAACCAAGGGGTGGGGGTGACGGAGCTGTCTGCCCTGTAAGATGCCAGCTACAACCAACTGTATGCAAACCAGTGTTGAACCAAGGGGTGGGGGTGACGGAGCTGTCTGCCCTGTAAGATGCCAGCTACAACCAACTGTATGCAAACCAGTGTTGAACCAAGGGGTGGGGGTGATGGAGCTGTCTGCCCTGTAAGATGCCAGCTACAACCAACTGTATGCAAACCAGTGTTGAACCAAGGGGTGGGGGTGACGGAGCTGTCTGCCCTGTAAGATGCCAGCTACAACCAACTGTATGCAAAGCAGTGTTGAACCACGGGGTGGGGGTGACGGAGCTGTCTGCCCTGTAAGATGCCAGCTACAACCAACTGTATGCAAACCAGTGTTGAACCAAGGGGTGGGGGTGACGGAGCTGTCTGCCCTGTAAGATGCCAGCTACAACCAACTGTATGCAAACCAGTGTTGAACCAAGGGGTGGGGGTGACGGAGCTGTCTGCCCTGGTGCAGACAAGGAGTAGGTACATTTGCTGTAGAAAACGTAAAGGCAGTAACAAAACAGACCAAAGGCCAGTCCACTTTTTACTGTCATCATGTACCAGCAATTTGAATCAACTTCATTGATAAAATTCTCCACCTGACTAAGGCTGATAGCTCTCACTGTCCCATGCCCACCCCTTGAAAGCCCACTGATGCCAAGCACACTGAGGAAAGTGCAATTAATCATGGGCAAAGAGACGAGGGAAACCTCACTCAGGAGGCAACATTGACCTTGTAATCCCACAGAGCTAGCTGCATTCCACCATGCCTTTGCACATACTGTTTCCTTTTACTGGAACACCTTTTGATCCTTAATCCACTTTTTTTTTTTTTTTGAGACAGTCTCTCTTTATCACCCAGGCTAGAGTGCAGTGGCTTGATCTCGGCTCACTGCAACCTCTACCTCCCGGGTTCAAGCGATTCTCCTGCCTCAGCCTCCCGAATAGCTGGGATTACAGGTGCCTGCCACCACGCCCGGCTAATTTTTGTATTTTTAGTAGAGACAGGGTTTCACCATGTTGGCCAGGCTGGTCTTGAACTCCTGACCTCGTGATCCACCTGCCTCAGCCTCCCAAAGTGCTGGGATTACAGGTGTGAGCCACCATGCCTGGCCAGTACTTTTTTTTTTTTTTAAACACTAGACAGTGAGCTCTATAGGGACAGGAACCTGTTCATCTGTGTCTGGCCCACAGTAGGCACTTAGGAATGGGCTGCCACTAAGTAGGCACCTTAAGTGGACACCCTGCACTATGGTTCATGGCAGCCCAGCCTATGAAAGTTTATTGATGGAATGAATCTGTAGAAATTTTCCATAATTGGATAAGGGCATTACAAACAGAAGGGACAGAGCAAGCAAAAGCAGGGAAGACTGAAAGTGCAGAACTTCTCAGTAGAAAGGGCAAATAGCTTTATGCCACAGGCAGTACATCTCAGAGAGGAGTTCCACAGCCACTAGCTTTAGTGTCATCCAGAATGTAGTCAACATACATGCACTCTTCCTCAGACCTTCTCATCCAGAATCTCTGCAGAAGGGGTTCAAGAATCTGGTTGTCTCAAGGAAACTTTAGGAACACAAAATTTGGAGAGGCACAGGGCCAGCTGACAAAGGGAGTGATGGACTATAAAGAGGTAAGAGTGCCCTGACTGGGTTGGGGCTAGGCCAAGAATTCATTCCTTCATTCAGTATTCATTCTGTCTTTCAATAAGTATAGATTGATCCCAGAAGGCACTCAGGTACATATGTGCACAAGGTAGACATGCTCCCTGTTCCTTTGTCACAGTCTAGTGGAAAGACAGTCATTAAATAAGCAAAGAAATAAACACCTAACATAGTTTCAGGTTATGATTAATGCTTTGCAGGAAAAAAAAAAAGCCAGAGAGGGATTAAAGACGGGAGAAGGTTATTTTGGATGGAATGGTCTGGGAAGCCCTCTGTTGAGGATGGTAGGAGTGAGGGATGAAGCCACTTGAAATGAAGAAGCAAGACATGCAGATATCTGGGAAAAGAGCATTCCAGGAAGAGGAACGCAAAGGCCCAAACAGAACACATGAAACAGGGAAACTGGCTGGGAAGCTACTGCAATAGTCTAAGTGTGAGATGCTGGAGGATCAGACCAGAGTGGAAGCAGTGAAGGTGATGGGAAGTGGTCAGATTCATAATATATTTTGAGAGTGGAGTCAACTAGCTTTGCTGTTGGACCAGATGTAGATGTGAGAGAAGAGGGGGAGCCAAGGTTATTGCACGTATAAAGGGGATGAGAGGACAGTTGAAGGAGACTGAATCAGAGAGGTACAGGGCTGGCAGGGCTGGGGCAGGAGATGGCAGACCACATGCAGATTCCTGCAGACCATGGGGAGGACTTTACTTTTCCATTGAGTGTGACGATTTTGAGCCAACGGATGTGATCTGACTTTTCTTTTTTTTTTTTTTTCTTTTTTGAGACAGAAGATCGCTCTGTTGCCCAGGCTGAAGTGCAATGGTGCGATCTTGGCTCACTGCAACCTCCACCTCCACCTCCCGGGTTCGATTGATTCTCATGCCTCAGCCTCCCGAGTACCTGGGACTAAAGGCGTGCGCCACCACACCCAGCTAATTTTTGTATTTTTAGTAGAGACAGGGTTTCACCATGTTGGCCAGGCTGGTCTCAAACTCCTGACCTCAAGTGATCCGCCTGCCTCGGCCTCACAAAGTGCTGGGATTACAGGCATGAGCCGCCACACCTGGCCGATCTGACTTGTTTTCTAACAGAATCTCTCTGGTTGCGGAGTGCAGTACAGACTAGAGAGAGACAGGAATGGAATGGGGCAGTTCTGAGGCTGATGCCAGGCATCCAAGTGAAAGATGACAGGAGCTTGAACCAGGTTAGTGACTGGGATGGGGAAACTAAATTTATTTGGGTAAAAACAATAAGTGGATTTCATGAAACTTGTTGAAGTAACGGGTGGTAAAAATCATAAAGGGGGTAGGCAAATAAATGATTGAAATTTGATAGTGGGTCAGGAGCTTCAGCTCTGCGGGCAGCAGTTGTGTCTCCTTGGAGAAGTGGTTTCAACTCTGAGCCGTTTTGTCATCTGCAAAATGGGGATAATAACGGTCCATACTTCATAGAGTTGTTGAGAGGGTGATGTAAAGGTTTTAGCGCACGATGTAGCACACAATAAACACTTAATAAATGTTATCTTAGAAGCCAGACTGCCAGGTTCCCATAACCATTTCAGCCGTTCACCGGCTGGCTGTTGTCATCTTGGTCAAATTATCCCTCTGCGCCTCAGTTTCCTCATCTGTGCAATGAGGCACATTAATCGTTAATATCAACTGCATAGAGTTGGGTTGTGAAGATTAAATAAATGAATACAAGTAAAGCGTTTAGAATAATGTGGACGGTAGCAAGCACGGCGAACGTGTTAACGATTATTAAGAATGTATTTTAGCCACATTTCCCAGCCCCTTCCCCGGCCTAGCATACCCCATTTTGTGGATGGGAAGTCTGCCTCTCAGCAAGGTGGCCTCTTGGAGGACGCTGTGCCCGCGTCAGGCGATCCTGTCGACTGCCGCCAAGACCCGGCTTCCGGCTTTGAGGGGCCACGCCCCGCTCGCACTCCCTGGCGGAACCTTTCAGTGCTGCGCTCGCGTTGCCAACCCGGCGCGCCTCACGCAGTTGCGCCCGCTGTTGGGACTACTTCCGGCTTCCCCGCCCCGCCCCGTCCCCGGGCGTCTCCATTTTGGTCTCAGGTGTGGACTCGGCAAGAACCAGCGCAAGAGGGAAGCAGAGTTATAGCTACCCCGGCCGCGGAGCCGGCTCACTGCACTACCCCCGCCCCCTTCTTTCCTCCAGACGCCGAAGTCGCGGGCGCTCATGGCGGGCCTGGAGGTACTGTTCGCATCGGCAGCGCCGGCCATCACCTGCAGGCAGGACGCGCTCGTCTGCTTCTTGCATTGGGAAGTGGTGACACACGGTTACTTCGGCTTGGGTGTCGGTGACCAGGTACGCCACGGAGCCGGCCAGGGTGGAGGAGGGAACTGTCTTCTGCCCAAACTCAGAGTACCGGAGGCCTGGTCCAGAGCGCCCGATTTCCCCGCTTCTCCCAGTGCAGGGTCTGGGGCAGATGGCAGCGTTGGTAAAACCTGCGGGTCGGAGGTTGCTCACCTGCCCCATCCCAGCCCAGAGTCCCTCACGGCACAGCTGGCACAACATGATTTGTAAACTCAAGGGCGGACACTCGCTTCAACACAGCCTGGCAGCCTCTCAGGCCAGGACTGTGTGGATCTAGCATTCCATAGAATGGCAAAGAATCTAGACAGGAGTTTAGCTCCCCAGAGCACTTCTCACCCACCTGATCCCGTCTGAACTCCTTACCACCCAGCCTCGGGGTGAGGGGACTGACTCAGTTCCGCCCTCATACCACAGTAGAGCCTCCACCAAACATCTGGATCCAAGCACAGGTACAGGAGTGAGCTTTGACCTACTCAGCCCCAGGCCAGGGCCCTTTTTTCACCCGTTAGCATGGGCCCAGAGAGTTCACACGCCTTTCACCCTTTACTGAAGGGCCCAGCATAGTCCACTCGCTACTGCCATCCCCAACTCAAGCTCTAGGAAGCAATCACCCCCAGAGTCGTACACACATACACCCTGGGTGTGAGGGTCATATAAGATTTTCTCCTCATAGTTGTCCCCATAGGGCCAGCCCCTCTTCTCCCATCCCCAGGCTCCACCTCTTACAGCTAGGGACGTCGTTGTCATCCCCACAGAGTTCTAGGACTGCTGGACCCAACCCACCTCACTAATTCTTTGCTCTGGCATTCTTCTTTCTTTCCTGTCTCTTCCCTGTGACCCTCATCCCCAACATCCACATCATCCTAGACATCTGCTTCCTGGGAGAAGTGGGCCTGCCTCCATGCCTGCCCCTCACTGTCACTGTTCTCTCACTCTCAGAACCAAGACTAGCCATGGGAAACAGACCACCCCACCTATTGCATCTTGCCATGAGATTTCACCCTTCCTCTCCTTTTTGACTGCTTCAGTTCTCAACTCCTCTAATCATTTTTTTTAGCTTCTCAAATAGAGTCTTAATTCTCCCCTCCTGACATAGCTTTAGGGACCTCTCTTCAAACTTGCTTTGTACATTCTGAGCACTTAGACAAGTATCCCCTTTCCCCCACCCCTCACTGCTGTCCCTATTCCTCTCTGTCTCTTAGAACTAAAGACCAAGACCACCATACCCCTCTCACACTTTACCCCCTCCAGCAGGAATCAGAACACAAGAACCGTCAGGGATTTCTGGCTCTTTTTTTCCCCAGACCTCAATTATCTCACTGGGACCCCAGGTACACACTCAGGATCCCCATTCCCACCTCCAAACTCACACATACTTCATCTCTCAAATGGGCTCTAAGACTAGATATGAGGATGGAAAAGAACAGCTAGCCTTTCACACACACATACCTGGAAGCAGGAATCATTTCACCTTCCCAAACACATCTGTCCCTGACCTTTCTCTTTGTGCTGCTCTTCATTCCACATACCTTCCAAATGTCTTCCAGCATTTCAGACCTTGGGACCAGGTAGAGACAGCACCCCCATTTCAGCGTCAGGCCCCTCTTTCAATGCATAGTTCCCCTAACAGAAATCTTGTCTCCCCACTTGTCTTACTCCAGCTTTTTAATCTTAAGCAGCTCTTCACTTGCCCCAGTCATTTTATTTCAACTTTTCCTAGATTCTTCAAAGAAACTGGTATGTGGGATGGTGCAGGGGACAGTGGGGCTGAGAAGAGGAGTAAGATTTGATTTTGACCTGGGATCTCCTCCATTGGCCCTCAGCTCCCCCTGCCCTTTGTCTTGTCCTTCAGATGGAACAGCTCTGCTTTGCACTCTGTCCCTCCTCATGTACCTCACTCCCCTTACCTACTCCTAGCTAGCTACTTAGACTCTGCCACACTGTCAGAACCCCATCCACCTCTGCTGAGGAACTTGTTCTAGAGGGCGTGTCTGATACCCTTCTCTCCTTGCCATTCCACAAATAAATATCAATCACTGTGGATCTGCTCCTACATTTCTTACCCTCACTCATGCTGTCTGAATCACTTTGACAGTTTAGGGACATGAGTTCACATAAGTCGATACCTTCTAGCTGGCATTACCACCTTGCCATACACTCAAGGCTCCAAAATTTTCAGATGAAATGTACAGAAAGAATACAATCTCATTTTAATAGTTTTTTTTTTTTTTAAAAAGGTCCTTGACCAATTCCCCAAGGTCCATCTAATTTTTCTCTGTTCATGGTGCTATTCGTTGAGCTTCTGCAGGCCAGAAAAAGATGCTGGTTTCAGACATCTTTGGGGAGGCCCAGGAGCCTGGGGAATTAGGTTTTTGTAAGGCATTGCCACCTTTCCTCTATCTACCCCAGCACTAAATCTTGCATGCCCCCGAAGGAATGAGTGTTTGGATTGCAAACTAGAGTGTGGTGTATTTTTGCTTCTCTCTGCCTTTTCTCCTTGATTGCCATTGGGGCTCAGGTTGCACTTGTCCTTCTGTCGCTTCTGCTGAGTCTACTTTCATTCAGAGTGGAAACTGGAGAGGCATCTTTCCTATTAGTTTATTTAAGAAGAGGTTTAATTTTTCAGCCTGGGGCCAGCCAACTCAGCTGACTCAATTGTGTTTTCCAAGCTCAGAGGATATTTGTGTTGCCTCTCCAGCCATCTGCTGTTTCCACCCTTCTGGGGGTGATAAGAAGGAGAGGAAGGTCCCAAGAGTGTATGCTTGACTATACAAGTTGACAGTTAAATGGAAAGCTAGATTGTCTGCTTTCTCTTAGGTTTTGCTTCCTCTGTTACAGGGGAATTGTGTACATAAAACTTGATTAGAAAACCAGTGCAGCCACTGGCTTCAACAAAAATCCAATACTTGAATTTGGATTTCTTTCTTGAAGTCAGAACCACTCCTCACAAGAACTTTACAGCTTTGTCAAGTGGTTTGGGTGCCAAGGGGATAGGTAAGGGATGACTTAGGTGGTTATCGACATAAGTTAGAGAATTTTGTTTTCTGTTGTGGGAAATCTAAGGATTATGATGAAAGAGAGAAAATGCCCAAAATGATCTGTTTAAGTTTCTTTGGGTGAATTTTAGTTCAGAGGCATTGGGGCAAATTCATGGCCATTAAAGAATGCTTCCAGTGCCAGGATTTTGCCTAAGAAGACAATTATCTTTATTCTCTTAGGGCCAGTCTTGTGGACCTGGCTGGGAAAAACCTTCTCTAGCCATAGCCTGGGCAATCAGGAGCTCTGAATTCCAAGCACAGCCCTACACCTGACTTGCTGAGACCTTGGGCAGCTCTCTGACCATCTCAGGCCTTAGAGTTTTCTTTTCTTTTTCTTTTTCTTTTCTTTTTTTTTTTTTTTTTTTTAATCCGAGATGTCTCACTCTGTCACTCAGGCTAGAGTGCAGTGGTGCTATCTTGGCTCACTGTAACCTCTGCCTCCTGGGTTCAGGCAATTCTGCCCCAGCATCCTCAGTAGCTGGGATTACAGGTCCCCGCCACCATGCCTGGCTAATTTTTTTTGTATTTTTAGTAGAGACAGGGTTTCACCATGTTTGCCAGGCTGGTCTCGAACTCCTGAATGCAAGTGATCTGCCTGCCTCTGCCTCCCAAAGGGCTGGGATTACAGGCAAGAGCCACCGCGCTCAGCCTCAGGCCTTTGATTTTTCATCAGAGGAAGTTAAACCACGTGACTGTGTACTTAGGCTACTTTCCAACTGTGGCTTTCTGGGACTCTTGATATTTGATGTCAGGGTTTACAGGGCAGTTGCAGACCATGTTTGGCCTGATATCGCCAGGGTCTGTCCTCTGTTTACTGGGGAACATCAATTGCACTGCAGTTAGAGATATCAGTTTCACCTGACTTCAGGGATTTTCTGTAACTCTGGAAGCCAAAGGTGATGGGGTGGTGAGCAGACCAAATTGTTTATATTCCAAGAGAGAACTCTGGTGGATTGAATGCTGTACATGGAGGATATAATATAAATTTAAAGGCGTTTGCCAGAGCAAAGATGAGGATGTCATCAAATTCCTGGCTTCCAAAGTAAACAAATCCACGACACTAAACACTAAACATATTCGGGAAATTTACCCAGTTTGGGGTGAGGGGATAGTTTCTTTTTCGCAGAAGAATGGTTTGATTAGTTTTACTTTTGTTTTTCCTCACTCTCATTTCTATGCTTCAGGCCTATGAATTTCATTGTCATCCAGCCAGGTTTTAAACCATGACAGTTGCGACATCCTGAATTTTATTTGGGATCTCTTTCCCCAGAGGATTTCTGAGCACCAGGGGTGACGAAACAGGAGAGGCCAGCAATTCTCAATGTGTGGTCTCCCCTTGTCCTTGGTGTGTGAAGTTTTGCTTTGCTGGACCTTTGTCTTTTCCATTTTCTTCATCTCCGGTCCCACTCCCTCCCGCTGTATTCTCATGACTACAGATCTTCCCAGTCCACCTGCCCCATGGTGAGCAATATAAATATACATCCATGAAAAAAGATTATAGCATTTTTTTGTGCTTTTTAAAATTTTTACATAAGTGGTACTGGAGTGTAAACCTCATTTTTTGGGGAACTTTTCTTTAAATCATATTTTTTCTTTTATATATAATACTATCATTAGATCTGGTTTATTCCTTCTGACTGCTATATAGTATTCCACTATAAGCATATTTTGCATTTTATCTCCACTTTTGCTACCTTAGCCAAGGCTATAATGAAGATCCTTTGTTATGTACCCTGTGCACAGGGTTTCTTCTGGGAGTAGGGATTTTGGATCATAGGATATTGGCTCATCTAATTGCACTAAAAACTGTCAGATTGCTCCCCGAAGGGGCTGTGCAAGTTTAAATGCCCACCAGCAGGGACTGGAGGTTCCCATTCTCCCCACACCTACACAGACATCTGGCAAAAAATAGAAAACTGGGTAATAACAGTCCGAATCATGTAACTTAGTGTCTCATTATTTCAGTTCTGCTTCTCTGATTGCTAGTAAAATTGAATAACTCTTTAGACACTATTAGCCGCTCTTTTTCTTGTTCATATCTTTTGCCACTTTTTGGAGTTCCCAATTGTTATTGTTCATTTTCCAGGCATTCCCTTTATGTAGAGGTTATTAATTTCTTTCCTTTGCAGCCATGGCAAATGTCTCTTCCTAGCCTGTGGCTCCTTATTAATTTAGTAGTGTCTCTGTAGAACAGAAGCTTTCAATTATGAACAGTGTCAAAGGCAGCATTTTCTTTTATGGATCTTGTTTAAGAAATCTTCCCCACCTAGAAATCACTATATTATTTTTCCTGTAGAAATAATTTGAGAACTATTTCTCAAACTTTAGTATGGAAAGTCTTAGGATTTTTAAAAAAGAAAAGAGGAAGACATCACAACTCACAATAAAAGATGTATTTTACACCCACCAGGCTGACAAGCATGAAAATGGCAAGCATTTTACCCCTACTAGATTGGCAAGCAATAATAGCAATGTTGCCAACTACACGGAGCAACAGGAGCTTTCATACATTGCTAGTGGGAGTATAAATCAGTAACTCTTTAGAAAACAACTTGACTTTATCTTATAAATTAAAAGCTTTTCCTCCATGCATACTGTATAGAAATTTATCCACGTGTACCAGATGTGTACAAGAATGTTCATAGCAGCATTGTTTATAATAGCAAAACAAATAAGCTGGAAATACTCCAAATCACCATCAACAAGTAGATGTATAAATTGCAGCATAGTCATACAGAATGCTGTGTAGCTGTGAATGTGAATCAGCTGTAGTTAAATGCATTGACATGGATACATTTCCAAAAACTATCAAATAAAAAAGGCAAATGACGGAAGTGATGCTGTGTATTTAAAATTCAAAAACATTTGAAGCTATATTTTTATGGTTGCATGTATAGTAATATAACTCTAAGGAAAAGTAAAGAAATTGTTTAAGAGTGGTGATTACCCTTGAAGGGGAAGGAGGGACATTTATTGGAGTATGCTACCCAAGGCTTTAGCAGTATTGCTGATGTTCTATTTCTTAAGCTGGTGGTAGAGACATTTTATAATTCTTTGTTATTTGTACATGTGCTACATTTTGTGTATTATGAAATTATAATTTTTGTACATCACTGCAGTCAGTTAGCGTGTATTCGGATCTGTGTTTTTAGTCAACACCTTGGTAATCCTATTGAAGTTAGCCTAACGTCCAAACTTTGAAAAACACTACTTAGAACTTCGCAGTGTTCCTCAAGATGACTGGCTTTATTCTTAGCAGTGGGATGGGGAAGAGATAATTATTAAACCAACACTGCAGATTCTTGACAGGTTCCAGTGCTGTGTCAGAAAGGTAGCTCAATATGAGGGAGAGCGCAGTAGAACAGAAGCCCAGAGACCTGGGCCCTAGACCTCTCTCTCGCTGTAGGATCTTGGGCAAGTCATTTCTCTTGACCTCCACATCTTCATCTGTGAAGTGAGGTGGGTAAGATTAGCTTATCTCGTGAGGTTCTTTATAGTTCTGTGTTTTGAGTTCATGATCTTTCTCCTCTCAACTGTGGTCTTCCCAGCCGGGTCCCAATGATAAGAAGTCAGAACTGCTGCCAGCTGGGTGGAACAACAATAAAGACCTGTATGTCCTCCGGTATGAGTATAAGGATGGGTCCAGAAAGCTCCTTGTGAAAGCCATCACCGTGGAGAGCAGCATGATCCTCAATGTGCTGGTGAGTCTCTGGGACACGTGAGTCTGCTGATGAGATGGGGATAGGAATGGCTGTTTTGAAACCCATTTAACGGTACGAATCCAGAGCTTCAATGTTCATGTAGCCCTTACCTAGTGATCCCACTTCTGGAACTTTATCTTAAGGTGAGAACCCTAAGTATAGAAAACCTTCGTGCACAAAGGTATCCACCACCTGGAATTAAGAAGGAGGGGCTTTCTGTCAACAGGGGAATGGTTAAATAAGGTAAATCTATTCAGTGACAAGATAGAAGGGAAAAACTTAGGTAACCCCAATGGGCTACTTCAGTTCCTTAAATAAATTGAATTCTTTGCTGCCTTGGAGCCCTTGCACTTTACATTTCCTATGCTGGAAGGCTCTTCCCCTCCCCCATCTGCCACTCACACAGCCCTTCACCATTCCTTCATCCTGGACAATTCTCTTTCATTTTTGACTTCCTCAAAAATTTCAGTTCTGACTACCCAGTCCTACTCCCCAAAAAAATCTAAATTATGTCTCTTTACGCCATCATTTTATTTTCCTGCCTGACACTCATTGCAGCTTGTAATTGTGTACTTATTTGTGCTTTGCTTTTATTCTGCCATGGGACTATAAGTGCCACAAGGACAGTGACTTTCCTTTTGTTAACTTTTTTCTTAGTGGTTTGGGTGTGACCATGTAGAAGTATCCTGCTGTATGTATTATACTGCACTTTGCTTTTTTTTCACTCGGTGTTTTGGAGGCAAGACCTTGACATGGAAATACATATAGATATACCTTATTTGTTTTAACTATTATATAGTTTCTCATAGCACCATAATTTCTTTATTCCTTTCCCTTTTGATGAACATTTAGATCTCGTGTCAGATAGGGTTCTTGGTTTCAAACAACAAAAACCTCTTGGGTTAGTTTAAGCAAAAAGGGTTTATTAAAAGAACCAGGATCACCCAGGCGCAGTGGCTCGCACCTGTAATCCCAGCACTTTGGGAGGCTAAGGCAGGTGGATCACTTGAGGTCAGGAGTTTGAGACCAGCCTGGTCAATATGGTGAAACCCTGTCTCTACTAAAAATATTTTTAAACCTTAGCCGGGCGTGGTCGTGGGTGCCTGTAATCCCAGCTACTTGGGAGGCTGAGGCAGGAGCATCCCTTGAACCCAAGAGGCAGAGTTTGCTGTGAGCTGAGATCGTGCCACTGAACTCCAGCCTGGGCAATAGAGCAAGCCTCTGTCTCAAAACAAAACAAAACAAAAAGAACCAGGATAGCTCATTGAAACAGGTTTAAGGCTAGGTTTCC